>NT_167208.1:0-164239 GCF_000001405.40 Homo sapiens
GAATTCAGTGAATGAGCCAAGATTCTCCAGAAACCGCTCAGCTTTGCAGTGATAATTTTCTGTGAAGACATAGAGTGAAATGGGAATAAGAGATAGAAAGTTGAAAAAGAATTTTCTCAGAATCTACATGTAACCTTACAGAAGGCAAACAGAAGGGTTAGTGAGATACATGGAATCACGCAGCTGAGGTGAGACAATGTAGGAAAATCAAGCATGAGACAGGAAATCAGGATATTGTGTTTCTTTGTGAAGACTCGGTTCCCTCTAATTGCTCATAAACCTAAAATCCCTACTTCATTCTTTGTAACATTTTTTCTCATTTCTTCCTGGAATTTTTGGATTCCATGCTTTTTAAGATGGCTTGAGAGAAAGACTTATCAGAGTCAACCTAACAGGCATTTATTAAGATACTACCAAGGGTGAGACCCTGAGTAAATGATTGTCAAATTTGAATATGTGGTTAGAAACACCTGAAGGACTGCTGGGCCCCACACCCAGAGTTTCTGATTCATTGAGTTTGAGCTGGGACTTGGGAATTTACATTTCTAGCAAATTCCCAGATGATATTGATATTGCTGTCTGGAGGCCACACTTTGAAGACCACTGCCTCTAGGAATGGGAAAAGAAATTAGATATCAGCAATCTGTCCTTAATGAGATTGCTTAAGGCTTTGTATTAGGGATGTACTTTGTCATGGAACATGTCATATAAATGACAAACTGAGAACACTGGCAACATATTTTAAAAGTAAAATATAGTACAATACACGCCAGAAGTTCTGAGAAGGATAAATAATTAAGTAGTGGTGAGGCAGAAGAGGCTAATTAGAGATGACAAAGAATAATACAAAAACCATGGGCCACAGAGCCAGGGGTGGCCTGGAGCTGAGCTGAGCTTATTAGGGGACAACTGCATAGGTGGACTTAAGGGCAAAACTGAAGGTTTTAAATGCTATGAAGTGTAGGGCCATGCTGCTGGTGCTAATTAAGCACTGAGAACTACCTTTCATACAAGGCTGAGATCTGTGAGACAGCCTCTTGCTTCTTGATCATGAACATCTTCAGTTAGATAAAGAAAGGGTCTAGTGAGGGTAGGTGGGTTACTCAAAATCCCTAGTGTTTAATTAGTTTTAGTTAGTTGAGACTGATTGTGATGAAACACAACATTTAACTTTGCTATCTCCTAGGCAAGTGCTGCCAGAAATAAAAAGTCTCCTTTTTACAGAAAAGAGAACATGGAAAGGCTGTCCAGAGTTCAGTCTCAAAGGCAACACTGGGCAGGGACTGACAAAGGGTTGAGGAGTGTCCATTAACCTGGGTATTGGTGATGGAAAGCATATCCTGAAATTGGAGATAGCAAGACTCTTGGTGAACTGTTGAGTAGACTGGGTTGAATTCAGTGAAGGATCTAAAGGAAAAATAAAAATATTAATGCTTCTATGTAGTATTAAAAGTTGTGACCATAAGATAGCAAGTATAATCACACACCAAAAAATGACTTTTCTGTCCCAAGTGAGTGGTGGGCTTCAATGTAGTCACCCAGAAAACATTAAATATTTGTCATATGTTCAAGATACATTTTGAAACATCTAAGGAAATAGAAATTATCACTTTGTTACATGTGCATGTAGGTGCACACACAGAGTATTACTCAGCGAATTTTTTCAGCTTTATTCTATATAATTATATATTTTTTCCAGCCTTATTCTGCCTGACTATCCAGATTTTACACTGTTTAGATCTGGCTGTTTCCAAATTGCACAAACTGTCTTGAACTGAAATGGACAGAAGGCAGGCAAATACTGGTAGAAAAGGGCAGGATCTTTGGCAAGGGCTCCACCCACAAGCTTGGACCCTCAGCCCAAAGTGAGAACTATCCCTGTTTTCCCACCTGATTGTTGCCTTTTGGCCCACCCCACACCACCCCCTATCCTGTGCCCATAAGAACCCCAAGCCCCAGACTCAGTGGACACACACACAGAAGAGAGAAGTGTCTGGATATTGAGATGAGAAGAAGCAGCTGGAGGTCAGAAACTATGGTCAGAGAGGAGTTCAGCTGGAGACACCCGGGCTCCAGGGGAAGATTATCTTCCCACTCCATCCCCTTTCCAGCTCCCTTTCCCACTGAGGCCCACTTTTACCACTCAATAAAGTCCTCCACATTCACCACCTTCAATTTGTTCATGTGACCTGATTCTTCCTGGACGCTGGATCAGAACTCAGGTACCAAGACAGCAAAGTGTAAAAGGCTGTCACCCTGACCTTCCACTGAGCTGGTTAACACTTAGCCATCCACAGACAGCAAATGTTAAAGGAGCACTGATTGTAACACATGCCCTCTGGGGCTCTGGGGGTCGCAGACAGCCCCTCCCAGACCGCAGAGCTAAAAGACTATTGTAACACACTTTGACACTGCTGCAGAACCCACACAAAGCTTGCTCCCGCCGGAGAGGAGCCACAGGCCAGTTCCACATTCATTTGCTCTGGTTCCCACACCCATCCACTCATGTGCTTCCTTCCATAAGGGATTCAGCATGGTAAACAAGTAAACAAGTCACTCATGTCACAAGTCCTGCAAAGGGGTCAAGGGAACACTCCTGTTTCAGAACCATTGAGGAAATTCAAAGAATCTGTGACAAGCTTCTTACCAGTGCCCTGAGATCTTGTGATTTCTCAGGATAGAAATCAAGAGAGATCACCAGAGGCAGCAATGAAGAGAGTTTATTACCTCTCAGGGAGCCAGCCATGAGAGAGCAAAAAGGAGTGGGCTGTTCCCCAAAGATACTGTGTGGTTCGGTTAGGTATAGGGTCTTTCCATAGGGAAGGATTCCCTCAGGGAATGTATAGGGAGAGTTTTGCTAGCACCTGCACAATGGCTCAACATGTTTCTTCATACATTGCATGTAGCATTAGAATTTTAAATCTCCACCCCTGGGCATGAACTTTAGTGTTGAAATGAGGAAAAGATAACTTTAGGTTGGAGTTTAAGTCTGACTCCACATATGGGACTCTGGGAAAGCCTCTAGCCCCCTGAAATAGAAATTTGCAATTAATAGCTTCCTTGGTCTTTTATTGCTGATTGGCTGAGAGTTAGACAAGCTAGAGTTTGAGTTGAGGGGCTTTTATCCTTTTCCTTCAGACAATCTTAAGATAGGGAACCAACCAGTCGGCCTGTCTCAGGCTCTAAGGAAAATTCTGAGAGGTCAGCAAGAAACCTAATATTATAAACAACAGTGCCATCAGCAGTTATTTAAATATATAAATATAAATTTTAAAGGTCCTATTAAAGTCATTCTGAGCCTGTACATTTAAACCATTCTAAATGTTTACGAGTATTTAGATACGAGAAGAAATTAGACCCAAATTATGCATCAATATCCAATACATGTGCACTGTGTATTCAAGATCAATATAATCTCCCACAGACTGTTCTGCTGAGTTAGCTAATATACAAAGACTTAGTTTGTTTTCTATATGTTAGAACATGAAAGAAAAGATATGTAGCTCACTGCCATTCCAAAATCCCAACAAATTATGGAACTGCCTCCATTGTGAAGCTGGCTAGTTTTCTTTTTTCTTTTTTTTGTTTTTTAACAGAGTTTCACTCTTGTCACCCAGGCTGGAGTACAGTCGAGCAATCTCGGCTCACTGCAACCTCTGCCTTCTGGGTTCAAGCGAGTCTCCTGCCTCAGCCTCCCAAGTAGCTGGGATTACAGGCATCTGCCACCACACCCAGCTAATTTTTTTGTATTTTTAATAGAGATGGGGTTTCACCATGTTGGGCAAGCCGGTCTTGAACTCCTGACCTCAGGTGATCTGCCCACCTTGGCGCTAGTTGTTTTTTAAAAGCCATCTTTCTAATGAAATGTAACACTGATGATTGCCTTACACATAGATAACATTAGGCCTCACATAGTAATCTCAGTGCTAACTACATGTCTTACCCTTCCTAAAATTTTACATTTTCTCTGTGGTTAAAGTCATCTTACAAAAAGACCCACATTTTACAAAGATTTAATTGTCTTGGATTTCAAATTACAACTAGTTTGATAGCCAAAAGGTTAAAAACAAATTGATTTTATGAAAAATTCTTATAGTATTAAATTTGACATGGATTACCATTAATAATAGAATCCTCTGCTGGCTGTGAGACATGCAAAGTTGCAAAGCCCAGATCCACAGATTAGAAAGGATTTTGACATGTATAATTGTGTTAGTCAGTTTGGGCTGCTATAACAAGATATCATAGACTGAGCGATTTAAACAACAGAGATTGATTTCTGGAGTTCTGGAGCCTAGGATAGTCCAGGGTCAGGGTGTCAGCAGACTGTGACTGGTGAAGACCCCCTTCCTGGTTTGCAGATGCTGTCTTCTTGTATCCTTAGATGGCGGAGAGAGAGATCATCTTTTCTTATAAGGGCAGGAATCACACCTATGAGGGCTCCACACTCATGACCTAATCACCTCCCCAAGGCCCCAACTCCAAATATCATCAACTTGGGGGTTAGGCTTCAATATATGAATTTTGGGGGGACACAGATATTCATTCACAGTAATAGCACTGTTGACAGCACACACAGATACCCCACATTCTTTTGCTCTTTCTGTAAGCCTCTTCCAACTGCTTTGTGCTTTGCTTCCGAAGGCCTGCAACTGAGACTTTTTTTTTTTTTTGAGACTGAGTCTTCCTCTGTAACCCAGGCTGGAATGCAGTGGCATGATCTCAGCTTACTGCAACCTCTGCCTCCTGGGTTCAAGCAATCCTCCTGCTTCAGCCTCCTGAGTAGCTGGGATTACAGGCACCTGCCACCAAACCTGGCTAATTTTTGTATTTTTAGTGGAGATGAGGTTTCACTATATTGGCCAGGCTGGTCTCGAACTCCTGACCTCTTGATCCGCCTGCCTCAGCCTTCCAAAGTGCTGGGATAACAGGCATGAGCCACCAGACCCGGCCGCAACTGGGACTGTCTTTAAGGATCTCTGCATGGAGCTGGGAGAGGGGAGCTTTAACCCTCTGTGCAGTTCTTAGGCAATGACTGACTGGTCCAAGTGTCTGACAATCTGACTCCCTGGCCTCAAGTTGGATGAGGCTGAAGCTGGACTTTGACAAAATCACACACTTTCTTGGGTTCTCTCTTTTCCATATCCTTCTTTCCCTTCTCCTTCCCTGTCTTCCTTTGAGATCACCTTGTTAACAAATTACTCCCACATGACTCCTCATCTCAGGGGCTGCTTGAGGAGAATATGACATCAGGCAATATATGCACAAAGAGCTTTACAAATTTATAAAATTTTTTTAATTAATTTTTTTTTGTAGAAATGGGATCTCTCTATGTTTCCTAGGCTGGTCTCAAACTCTTGGGCTCAAGCAGTTCTCCTACCTCTGCCTCCCAAAGAGCTGGGATTATAAGTATGAGCCATTGCACCCTGCCAAAATAAGATAACTTTTGTAACCAAAATATAGGCAGAGCCCTTCATGGCACAGACTCTGCACAGATTTCATCTGAAACCAACAGCAATCCAGTATTCTTTAGTTACCCCTCAGAAATATTTAATTAAGGTTGGGGATAAATGGCTGTTATGAGACAAGGAACATATGTTGATGCAAGTAGATTTATTACAATGATCCCATTTCTACTCACATGTTACTGAGGCTCAAAGAAGTGAGTACTGCACATTGAGTATATGACATGGGACCAGCCCAACAGGTGAAAGAAGTTGGAAATCTGTTTTATGTCTGAATTTGAAATGCAATAGCAGAAATCTGTTTTACGTGTAAATTTGGAATGCACTGCCATAAAGTATATCCTTTAAAGGTTTTATGCCTATGGTTACAAATCTTGTGGAGTGAGGACTTTAACATATCCCTCTTTTCTCTCAGACAGAACTGTAAGGTCTAATAAACATATTGGATTTAAGTTCTAATAAAGATATAAGCCATAAAATTAATCTCTTGTTAGGCTTCTCTGCTTACATTTGTACACTTGCTTCCAATCTTCAAGCAAGAGAGCTCTGCCCTCTAGAAAGAAGATGTGGGCCCATTCTGCAGGCCCAGAGGATTCAGGGACAGCTGCAGTTTCACATTTATCAATGACATCTATTCACATTTTCTGATTCCAAGTCTTAAGAAGCCATTTCTTCCTTACCAAGTTCCTGGCTGTTGCATGGGATTGCTGAGGATGTAAACTGGGTGTCCCTGAAGGTCCACTGTTTTGTTTTTGTTTTGTTTTGTTTTGAGATGGAGTCTTGCTCTTGTTGCCCAGGCTGGAGTGCAATGGCGTGATCTCAGCTCTCTGCAACCTCTGCCTCCTGGGTTCAAGTGATTCTCCTGCCTCAGCCTCCTGAGTAACTAGGATTACAGGCATATGCCACCATGCCTGGCTAATTTTGTATTTTTAGTAGAGATGGGGTTTCTCCATGTTGCTCAGGCTGGTCTTGAACTCCCGACCTCAGGTGATCCATCTGCCTCGGCCTCCCAAAGTGCCGGGATTACAGGCCTGAGCCACCAAAGGTCCACTGTTCTTATAGTTGGTCCTGGCCTGGTCTTCAGCATGGTCTCCCTTGGCTATAGAAAAAGGGGGTTTGTTTAAGAGCTGCCAAGGGACTTTTTGACTTTCTCACTTTGCCTTATGCTGACCAACTGGAGTCTATTTATCATGGAACCCATCCACAGCCTTTGTAATGACCATTTACCTTGTACCATCAAAAGCCAAAGAAAATTGCACAATCTAGCATACCTGTTCTGTCAGAATCCCTTCTGTATTAGTTTCCTAGGGCTTCTATAACAAAATACAATAAATTGGGTGGCATAGAACATGAGGAATTTATTATCTCACAGTTCTGGAGACTAGAAGTCCAAAATCAAGGTGTCGGCAAGGTTGGTTCTGAGAACCGTAGGGAAGAATCTGTTCCATGACCTCCCTGTTGGCCTCAAATTGTTCTTGTGGATGCCCTGTGTCTTCACACCATCTTTCCTCTAAGCATGTATGTCTCCATGTTCAAATTTCACTTTTTTTGTGAGGTCAACAGTGATATTGAATTAGGGCCCACCCTAATGATCTCATTCTAGTTGGATTATCTGCAAATATCTTATTTCCCAGTAATATCACATTCCCAGGTACTGGGGGTGAAATTCAACATCTTTTGAGGTTACATAATTCAACCCATGACATCATCTTAATTCGCTCCAGGTAAAAGTTTTAGCAACTGCAATGCTCTAGTGTGTCAGGGCCCCTCTGGGCTCCACATACCCCCTGTGATGGGGTATTTATTGCCACTTAGCTGGTGACTTAACTCTAGAATCCCATCCTCAGAATCTGCCTCCAAAAATCATCCTTGCACTCCTAACCAAATACCTAAGGCTGGACCTCCAGAAGCCAACTCTGAGACACAGATCATGAACAGGGTATTTATTAAGGGCCAGGAGAAGAACACAAGAGAAAAGGAAATGAAGAACAGAGAAAGGCACAATTTTAGCCAACTCCCTGGCCTTAGCCAGATCTTTGGGGAGCTCTAGACCATAAATTATGTCAGAATTTGCCCCATTTTGAGGAAAGGGAGTCAGGCTTTCAGAATCTTGCACAGTCATTGGCTATAGGCTTCCCTAGAACTACACTACCAGGCATTCCAGGCTCTCTCTGGGAGGGAGGGACTGGCCCATGGTCAGCCTCTGAAGAAGGTCACAGGGGCAGGCCATTTGGAACAAAGCACAGAGAAGCTATAGGATGCATTCACATGGCTGGTAAAGTGGATAAGAAGGGGTCCGGGGAGAGCATGGAGAAAGTTTACCACCCAAAGCAATACACTTTTGCCTACTTGTGCTGACATTTACTGAGCTTCAACACAGGAATGTTCTAGATAAAATAATATTACTCTGCAACATTGAGGGAAGACCAAGAATGCCTTGAGATAGGACTCAGCATGTCCTGGAAGCAGGGTGCCATTGTGTGGGAGGGAGGTGCCCAGCAGAGGTAATTCTTGGATCCATGGCACCTGCGGTGGACAACTGGCCAGGAGGAGCCACAGGAACCAGCCCCACGGGCTCAACAAGGCCACAGAGCAGCAGCAGGAGGCCCTGAGTAAGACCCTGTTTGTGACAGTCCCCTGAAACTTTAAAAGACAAAGCAAGGGAAGAAAGCGGCGGTGAAGATGGATTAAAGGCCTCACAGTAACAGGTCTGTAGGTACAGCCAGAGAAATCAACGCTTATTGTTTTTAATGTGTCCCGCTTTTTCTTCTTCCTTTTAATGCCAGATGGGTGCGGCAATCCTTTGTTAAGACAGAAATTATTTTACTTTTTTTCCACAGTGGTACAGAAAAATGTACAGGGCTCATTAGAAATATTTAGTGGATGGAAAGTAATTTGAAGAAATCGATGAGGTTGAAAATAATAATAAAAGAAGTCAGAAAGGGGCAGAGAAAGATAGAAATTTACAGGTTTCAAAGCAGGGATACATGAGGAAAAAGGTTACATAAGTTCTCTCTTTGAAGCACAGAAGGTGTGCAGGAAGGGAATAACACCCATCCACATGCTCGTGCTCAAGAGATTCAGGTTTCTCTTAAAGTGAGGTCCTGGGAGTGCAGACTGAATATATTTGAGGAAACCTAGGTTCAGACAGGTTAAGTGATTTTTCTCAGTTACACAGCTGTGGATTGCACAGCTTAAAAAATATTATAAAAATTCTTATGAGGATTATAACTGAGAAGTAGGTGTCTTTTTTGCTCACAGAATATTCTATGGCAAATCCTAGACTCAGGTTCTTATAGCCATAGCCCCAGGCTGTGCCAAACATCCACACACACCCACTTTCCCATTCTCTCCAGCAGACCTCATAAGTTATCTTAATATGTAGTCTATGGTCTATTTAGGCACCACCTGCACACAATCATCATTTATCAAATTGCCTAGGCAAACCAACATCGGCTTTGCTATATCTTGGCAAATGTCTCTCCTATATTTAGCCTTTTAGCCACAGTGTGATGATTGGAATGTGTCTTACAGAAAGGAAGCTTTCTCTGAGAGCCATGCAGGGGTGAGGCGGCAAGCCTCTGACGGAGATAACTTCCTGACTTGTGTTTGGCATTTCTCCAAGCTGCTGAAATAGTACTTGAAGTGTTTCATGGACACACGGAGATTTAACACCTGCAAAGTTAAGCCTGACGCCCTAAGGTGGAATGCTGAAACGGCAGAGAGCAGAGCAAGTGTAGGTGAGGATTGCGTTTCACCTTCCTAGTGCCCTCATAGGGTGCGTTGGATTTATGTCTCACTGAGTGAGGCGCCCTCTCCTGGCCGACGATCCCACTGGCTCAGTCACAGCAGGAAAGCGAGAGCTGCAGGTTGCAGAAAGACAGGGCTCCACTCTCAAGGGAAACTGCTGACAATGCCAAAAGTCAGAATCCTTTCACTGTCTCTTTACATCCCAGCTGTCAGACAAGCTAACTTTAAATTTTAACTTAAGCAAGATTGTGTTTTTTATAGAATATTTCAACACAGAGGGCAAATTTCATTCTAATGTGACAAAAGCAGCGTTGGGAAAAGAGTTGGAAATGTGTGCTTTTGAATGTGACCTGAGATATAGCTTCCAAAGCTGGCCATTGCTCTCCTGGCCCAGAGCCTGACCCCATCTCATGACAGGAGAAGCTGAATCTCACGCTCTGTAAGAACCTGGCTTACTCCCTCATTAAATATGAGTCCCTGTTCTCAGAAGTGGATCACTGTAGTTTGAAGGATCAACATTGATCAAACATATCCATTTCTGCCAGTTTTACCCCTCTCTATGCTGTTACTAAACAAGAGAAGTTATTCTACAATTTATGTAAGTTATAAAATAGTAATTAAATATTTTGGAATATGTGAAAAAGTAAACTACCAAAATCTCCCTACCTACCTACAGTATTATCATCTTAATGTATTTCCTTTTTTCTCCTTTTATATGCACATTTACACTAAATGTTTATGTGTACATATATATTTTAGCCTATAATACTATTTTATTTTGATTTAACATGTATTTTATTTACTATGTAATATATGACATATAAATATATATTTTATATTATCACCTTATATTTATAGCTTTCTTCTGTAATGTTGATTAATTATTATCAGGAGTAAATTATATTTAGAGAATATGCTGCAGCAATAAAAAGCTTAATAACAAGGAATCTGGACTAAAGTAGAACAGGGTAAGCCCACATCCAATTAAGAAAGCTCTTTGGACACATATATATTCCACCAACAGAGCTACTAAAATGTAACTTACATTCTTAAGCTTTCCATAGTCTGTATACCCATGTTGCCAAAGATACACTACAGTAAGAAAGAAGAGAATTTTATACCTGAAAGATTTTTGCCTGTGCTGGCTTGTAGGGAATATTCTTAAAGACTAGCTTCAACTCTGTCTGTTGTTGTTCCCAATGAATTATCCAAGTATCTAAGAGTTTAGGGTTCATGCTGCCTTCAGCCATTGAGGCCATTCACCTGGTGAGATATGTTTTCCCCAACAAAACATGGAACCCCTGGAGAATATATACGTGTCTGCAGTCATGTTCCATTATGGTTTTGCTTTCAGTTAGCCAATCATATATATAATTCATAGTAAGGGTATCAAGGTCTGTTTTTGTTCCACCAGCAAGCCCATGGCAGTTTGGGAACCAAAGGCATTCAGAGTATCTGAAATCACTCCAATTCCCAGGATGGGTTGAACCTACCTGAGAGCTCTACAGGGCAAAGGCAAGCTGTTCTGTGTCTATTTTTTCCTTAAGCCATTTCATACACACACCTTTGATGAGAGCACCTAAGTGTCATAAAATGCTGACTTTGGACCCAAAGACAGATTACCTTGAAAGAAATGGGCTGGGATTTCCAATTAGCAGCAGAAATTCCAGGAATTTCCAGATTACTTGGCACCCATATTATCAGCTACATATAGGGAGTCTGGACTTGAAAATTCAGGAGCATGGGGGTGCATGGTAGTGAATTCCTGTAATTTTATATTGCCTTGGCATTCATTTTGAATATAAGTTGGACTTTCTCATACAAGAAACATGGTTTAGTCACCCTTGGCACAATTTCCAGTTCTCTATTTCATCCCAGTTCCTTAATATGGTCAATCCAGATATCTCCCTTATACAATTGTCTGCTGTTGACCACCTTCCCTAAGGGACAGTTAGGTACCACCTATTGGCTTACCCCACTGACTCCTCCATCCCCCATAGACTGTACAGATATGCTGCAGCGACAACCTCTCAGTAACAGCGTGGCCACATAGGACTTGGAACAGCTTGCTTTAAACTCGCAAATTAGAACTCCCATGGAAACCCACCTAATAATACCCTGGACTCCAATAAAAGCTTTAGCACACAGGTCCCTCACTCTCTCTTTTGCTCTGCACTTTGTGGTTCTGGTAGAGCATGTATATCTGGAATGGCTCTGCTTTCCCATCAGCTCTGCAAGGAGTGCTGCCCTTTTCTCTAATCTGTAAGTAATAAACTCCTCCTATTATTGTGTGGTTTTTGTTGCATCGCCTCCTCTGCATCTCACCTGACTGACACACCTGAACCTAGTTTCTTTCCAAGGGAAAGCTCTCCTAGACAATGGATATCTTGGTAGAAATAAACTGGATATAGGTCAGACAAGAGCCACGAGGGTGCCTGCTGGTATAAGCATGTTTCCTGTGAGTGGGACACCTGGTCATGGGTTGGACGCTTAGGCACTAGGCAACACTTAGGCATTAGGCCATCCACTAGGATAAAGAAGTCACTGTAGACATCCATGACCCAAATACTGGAGCCCTTTCAGTGCAGGGTTAGAATTCACAGCCATTTTCCAGAGAGAAACCTCAAGACCAAATTAGAAAAACAAAATTCCAGTACTCACCAACAGCCTCCTGCTTTTAGAGAAGGGGGTGCTTGAAACTTCTGATTAGCCTCTCACTCTCTGTCATTTCCCATCTCCCCAGGAGGTAAAATAGCTCACCCCTGCTAGGGAAGGGTAGAAGTGGGGAGAAGCTAGGCAGATGGTTGGCAAGGATTACTTCTCGTATTTCATCCTAATTTGCATTAATGCTCAACTTTGAATCACTCTTTCTGTGTATATAATTTTTTAGTAAAAAAAATTCCTCTTCTTTTCAATTTTGAGCCTGAAATTGTGAACAATTTGATTGCTATTTGTTAGTCACATTAAGATTCTCTTAAAATATACTCACACATTGTTATGTATCTAGCAGGCATATACTAATGTATGTTCTTGTAAAAATATGCCTATGGGTATTTAATGCCAGAGACAATTACTGTATTTCGTTTCAAGTTCAGTCCACAGCATGGGACCTCTTCTGAAAGTGCATGTACAAAAATGATTATGTCTAGTATAGCTCAAAGTATTGTCTTCCATTCTCACTCCTGGAGAATATTACATTTTTCCCCCTCCAGAATTTTGTAATTACTGTAGGGGAAGAAAAATTAAAAGATGCTAAATTTACCAAGTGTAGATCTTTCTTTTTTTTTTTTTTTTCTTCAGTATATATCTCATTTTAATAAGACCACAGTATAGTCTCACCTGACAAAATAAACAATAATTTCTTAATATCATTAAATAACCAGTCTATGTTCACATTTCCAATTAGCTCATAAATATCATACATCATTTTTATTTCTATATTATGGTGATGCAACAGCAAAATTCAGACTGTAGGAAAAACTACAGGATAACTAGTTTTCTTCAATAAGCAGAAAAATGTATAAATTAAAAAAAGAAAGAAAGAAATGTGGAAATATGGATTATAAGAGACTTAAAAGTTATTTCAAACAATCACTGTATGAACTTCATTTGGATCCTGAATACTGGAAATTGTTTAATTCTTTTTTGTGCACTAGGGATGGAGAGTCAAATTACTGTGTCTTCTAAAAGCCCCAGATTTCACTACCACACAATTTATCCATGTAACAATCCTGCACTTGTACCCTCTAAATCTATAAAAATAAAAATTTATTTAAGATATTTTTAAAAACAACAACAATTGTGCCTTAAAGCCATTGGGAAGAGTTCCTCTCTGTGAAGGTGTGCTCCTAACTGAACACACAAGATTTGTAAAAATTGCTTTTTTATTTTTTGTTTTGTAATTACGTAAAATATTTATGCAGCTCAGAAGTCAAGTTTACAAGGCAAATTCACTTCTGTGCCTATTCTCTTTTTTTTTTTTTTTTTTTTTTTTTTTTTTCCTCAGGGATCTAGAACTAGAAATACCATTTGACCCAGCCATCCCATTACTGGGTATATACCCAAAGGACTATAAATCATGCTGCTATAAAGACACATGCACACGTATGTTTATTGTGGCACTATTCACAATAGCAAAGACTTGGAACCAACCCAAATGTCCAACAATGATAGACTGGATTAAGAAAATGTGGCACATATACACCATGGAATACTATGCAGCCATAAAAAATGATGATGAGTTCATGTCCTTTGTAGGGACATGGATGAAATTGGAAACCATCATTCTCAGTAAACTATCGCAAGAACAAAAAACCAAACACCGCATATTCTCACTCATAGGTGGGAATTGAACAATGAGATCACATGGACACAGGAAGGGGAATATCACACTCTGGGGACTGTGGTGGGGTCGGGGGAGGGGGGAGGGATAGCATTGGGAGATATACCTAATGCTAGATGACATGTTAGTGGGTGCAGCGCACCAGCATGGCACATGTATACATATGTAACTAACCTGCACAATGTGCACATGTTCCCTAAAACTTAAGAGTATAATAAAAAAAAAAAACATTAAAAAAAAAAAAAGTGTAGATCTTTCAAAACTTCACAGGTAAAAGTGCCTCAGAAACATTTTTCAAAATGGTTTTGTCAATACTTTAATCAAAGAATTAGCTAAAGACTTGCTGTTTGAATATGAAATTATGTTATTCTCACAAAATCTTTCCCTCTGTGATTAAAAATTGTAATCCTCATGTTCTTGTTTTATTACCTGCTATATATAAAATATATTTAGGGCAGGGCACAGTGGATCATGCCTGTAATCCCAGCACTTTGGGAGACCTAGGCAGGAGGATTATTTGAGCCCAGGAATGGGCTCAAATGCCCAGCCTGGGCAGCACGCAGATACCCCAACTCTCTCTATATGTGTGTGAATAAACTAATGTGAATTTTCTTTCCCTACCTGTACTGGAACAAGTTTAAAAGTCCTACATACATACGGGAAACATTAAGAAATGTAAGTCATTATCATCATCATGGTCATCTTCATCAAACACTCATTTGGCTGGTGGGAAACAGATTCAAATTCATTTCTGTTTGACATCTGAATTCAAGACATTCACATCTTGAAAGTTTAATCCTTATCCTTTACTGCCTCATGTATTCTATGTAACCAAGAGAGATGATGGGCTTGTATTTATTTGCGCCTTTTCTTTGGTTCTACATGGGCAACTATTTGTCTTCTACATAAAACTTTATTTATCCTGAGCCAGTCTGGATAGGCTTGTGTTCCTGAATATTGAGAGTTCTCTGAGTAAATGCTCTCTCTAGATAATTTTATCCTATATCATAGGTTTTAATCTTACCCAAATGCTGGTTATTTCTAAACTAACACATCCAGCCTTGACCTCCCCTCTGTGTCCAGATTCAGATACTTGACTGCCAAATTAACACCTCCTCTGGGATATCTGAGAAGCATTCTGAATTTAACCACTCAAAACAGAAACTTTGATTCCTCCCTGCCCCAAATATGATGCTCCCCCTCACTTCCAGTCTTAGTGGAAATATCATCTCTAACTATCCAGTGGCTCTGGCCCTCAATTTAAAAATCAGCCTGGATTCCCTATGTTTTACACACTCCAAATCCATTCTATTGGCAAAGCCTGTCAACTTTACCTTCACAACACATCCTAAATCGAGTTCTCACCTTTTTTGTAGATACTACCCGAGGCCATGTTTCCGTTATCTCTCTTCTAAATTACAGCAGTCATTTCTGATTGTTCCCTCTATTTCCATTACTTTTTTTTTTTCCAACCCAATCCCAGCTATTTTCCAAACAGGAGCCAGAATGATTCTTTCAAAAACGTAGATCAGATCACATCATTTCCTGCTCAAATTCTACAACAGATTTTCACCACATGAAACAAATCCATAAGTCTTCACCATTATCTCCCAGGCCACAGGGAATCTAGGCCCTGCTTATCTTTTGTATCTGTTACTTACTACTTTTCCCTCTGCCACTCTATATCACTTTGGCACTATTTTTCTTGCTGTTTATTAAACCTCCCAGCTCTTGCAGCCTTAAGGCTTCTGATTGGCTATTCCCTCTTGCATCAGATATTGGTGTGGTTCTTTCATCATTTCTTTCACTTCTGAGCCTTCTCTCCAACAATACTCTCTACACACACACATTGTGTCATTCTATATTCAACCACACTTTATTTTTTCCACATAGCCCTTATCACAACCTAACACTATATTATGCATTTGCTTCTTAACTTGCTGTTTTTTTCATTAGACTGGACACTCCACAGGGGCAGAGATTTCACCAATTTTGCTCATCCTTGTATTAAAAACATTTTTTAAAGTGCCTGGCACACAGTAGGTTCTAAAAATAAGTGTTGAATTTTACCATTATGCTTTTAATATTTTTTCCAAAATAGGTTTTTATGCTCTGTATTCTTAGATTATGCTGAACACCATCGTCTTTAAGATTTGCAGCATTTGTTAGAAATGCTGGTTGTGTTGCTCTGTTAGAAAGTACAGATCTAAGACCGGGCATGGTGGCTCATGCCTGTAATCCCAGCACTTTAGGAGGCTGAGACGGGCGGTTCATGAGGTCAGGAATTTGAGACCAGCCTGGCCAGCATGGTGAAACCCCATCTCTACTAAAAATACAAAAAATTAGCTGGGCATGGTGGCACATGCATGTAATCCCAGCTACTCGAGAGGCTGAGGAAGGAGAATCACTTGACCCC
Source organism: Homo sapiens (assembly GCF_000001405.40). Lineage (NCBI taxonomy): Eukaryota > Metazoa > Chordata > Mammalia > Primates > Hominidae > Homo > Homo sapiens. Next base: position 15,974 of record NT_167208.1, read on the forward strand.
AGGAGGCGGAGGTTGCAGTGAGCTGAGATCACGCCATCGCACTCCAGCCTTGGTGACAGAGAGAGACTCTGTCTCAAAAAAAAAAAAAAAAAAGTACAGATATAAGAAGAGTATGATAAAAGTGTGGGAGGCATCTGTTGAATATGGCTTTAGTTCTCATTTTGAACATAATGTAACAGTCACAGTACATTAATGGCTTCCCTACTTTTTTTTAAAGCATTACTTATTACATTACTCATATTTTTCTTTCATATCTCTTACATCTTACATCTTATTCCATGAAATAAGTGCATTCCTGTTGAATGTTCATTCACACTTCAAAATGCAGGTAATATGTTAGCTTCATCAGCACTCACAGTTATAAATTTTCCCTTGTCTTCCAATATATAGGTAATTATATACAATCTTACTATAAAATTTATTATGTTATTGCAATCTGATTATTAAACTAGATTTAGTGAGATGAAAGCAGAAAAGATAGCTACTCACTTTGTCCACTAAATTTGTTTTTTTTATTATTAGACTTTAAGTTCTAGGGTACATTTGCACAAAGTGCAGGTTTGTTAAATAGGTATACATGTGCCACGTTGGTTTGCTGCACCCATCAACTCATCATTTACATTAGGTATTTCTCCTAATGCTATCCCTCTCCCAGCTGCCCACCCCCCAATAGGCCCCGGTGTGTGATGTTCCCCTTCCTATGTCCATGTGTTCTCATTGTTCAATTCCCACCTATGAGTGAGAACATGCAGTGTTTGGTTTTCTGTCCTTGTGATAGTTTGCTGAGAATGATGGTTTCCAGCTTCATCCATGTCTCTACAAAGAACATGAACTCATCCTTTTTTATGACTACATAGTATTCCATGGTGTATATGTGCCACATTTTCTTAACCCAGGCTATCACTGATGGACATTTGGGTTGGTTCCAAGTCTTTGCTATTGTGAAGAGTGCCGCAATAAACATACGTGTGTATGTGTCTTTACAGTAGCATGATTTATAATCCTTTGGGTATATACCCAGTAATGGGATTGCTGGATCAAATGTTATTTCTAGTTCTGGATCCTTGAGGAATCACCAATCACCACACTGTCTTCCCCAATGGTTAAACTCATTTACACTCCCACCAACAGTGTAAAAGCTTTCCTATTTCTCCACATCCTCTCCAGCATCTGTTGTTTCCTAACTTTTTAATGGTTGCCATTCTAACTGGCATGAGATGGTATCTCATTGTTGTTTTGATTTGCATTTCTCTGATGACCAGTAATGATGAGCATTTTTTCATGTGTCTGTTGGCTGCATAAATGTCTCTTTTGAGAACTGTCTGTTCATATCCTTTGCCCACTTTTTGATGGGGTTGTTTTTTTTCTTGTAAATTTGTTTGAGTTCTTTGTAGATTCCGGATATTAGCCCTTCGTCAGATAGGTAGATTGCAAAATTTTCACCCAATATGTAGGTTGCCTGTTCACTCTGATGATATTTCTTTTGCTGTGCAGAAGCTCTTTAGTTTAATTAGATCCCATTTGTCTATTTTGGCTTTTGTTGCCATTGCTTTTGGTGTTTTAGTCATGAAGTCTTTGCCCTTGCCTATGTCCTGAATGGTATTGTCTAGGTTTTCTTCTAGGGTTTTTATAGTTTTTAGGTCTAACGTTTAAGTTTTTAATCCATCTTGAGTTAATTTTTGTATAAGGTGTAAGAAAGGGACCCAGTTTCAGCTTTCTATATATGGCTAGCCAGTTTTCCTAACACCATTTATTAAATAGGGAATTTTTTCCCTGTTGCTTGTTTTTGTCAGGTTTGCCATGATCAGATGGTTGTAGATGTGTGGTGTTACTTCTGAGGCCTCTTTTCTGTTCCATTGGTCTATATAACCTGTTTTGGTAACAGTACCATGCTGTTTTGGTTACGGTAGCCTTGCAGTATTGTTTGAAGTCAGGTAGCGTGAGGCCTCCAGCTTTGCTCTGTTTGCTTAGGATTGTCTTGGCTAGGTGGGCTCTTTTTTGGTTCCATATGAACTTTAAAATAGTTTTTCCAATGCTGTGAAAAAAGTCATTGGTAGCTTGATGGGGATGGCATTGAATCTGTAAATTACCTTGGGCAGTATGGCCATTTTCATGATATTGATTCTTCCTATCCATGACCATGGAATGTTCTTCCATTTGTTTTTGTCCTCTTTTATTTCATTGAGCAGTGGTTTGTAGTTCTCCTTGAAGAGGTCCTTCACATCCCTTGTAAGTTGGATTCCTAGGTATTTTATTCTCTTTGTAACAATTGTGAATGGGAGTTCACTCACGATTTGGCTCTCTGTTTGTCTGTTACTGGTTTATAGTATCGGGGGAACCAGCCCCCAATATTTCAATGTAGGTTCTATTTTCCCTAAGTGTCGGCTGGCCTGAGAAATAAAGAAAAAGAGTACAAAGACAGGAATTTTACAGCTGGGCCTCTGGGGGTGACATCACATAACAATAGGTCCGTGATGTCCCCCTGAGCCACAAAACCAGCCGGTTTTTATTAAGGACTTTAAAAGGGGAGAGCATGTATGAACAGGGAGTATATCACGAAGATCACATGCTTTAAAGGGCAATAAAGATCACAAGGCAAAGGGCAAAATTAGAGTTACTGATGAGGGTCTATGTTCAGCTGTGCACATATTGTCTTGATAAACATCTTAAACAACAGAAAACAGGGTTTGAGAGCAGAGAACTGGTCTGACCTCAAACTTACCAGGGCGGGATCTTTTCCCCACCCTAATAAGCCTGAGGGTACTGCAGGAGACCAGGGCGTATTTCAGTCCTTATCTCAACCGCATAAGACAGACACTCCCAGAGCAGCTGTTTATAGACCTCCCCCCAGGAATCCATTCCTTCCCCAGGGTATCAATTATTAATATTCTTTGCTGGGAAAAGAATTCAGCGATATCTCTCCTACTTGCACATCTGTTTATAGGCTCTCTGCAAGAAGAAAAATATGGCTCTATTCTGCCTGACCCCGCAGGCAGTCAGACCTTTGGTTGTCTTCCCTTCTTCCCTAAAATCGCTGTTATTCTGTTCGTTTTCAAGGTGCACTGATTTCATATTGTTCAAACGCCCATGTTTTACAATCAGATTTCATATTGTTCAAACACACATATTCTACAATCAATTTGTACAATAGTGGTCCTGAGGTGATGTACATTTTCAGCTTAGGAAGATAACAGAATTAAGAGATTAAAGTAAAGACTGGCATAAGAAATTCAAAGAGTACTATTTGGGAACTGATAAATGTCCCTGAAATCGTCACAATTTATGTTCAGAGATTGCAGTATAGACAGGTGTTAGAAATTATAAACGTATTAATTTTGGGAACAGATAAATGTCCATGAAATCTTCACAATTTATGTTCCTCTGCTGCGGCTCCAGCCGGTCCCTCTGTTTGGGGTCCCTGACTTCCGGCAACATTATAGGAATGCTTATGATTTTTGCACATTGATTTTGTATCCTGAGACTTTGCTGAAGTTGCTTATCAGCTTAAGGAGATTTTCGGCTGAGACGGTGGGGTTTTCTAAATATACAATCATGTCATCTGCAAATAGGGACAATTGGACTTCCTAATTTCCTAATTGAATACCCTTTATTTCTTTCTCTTGCCTGATTGCCCTGGCCAGGACTTCCAACACTATGTTGAACATGAGTGGTGAGAGAGGGCATCCTTGTCTTGTGGTGGTTTTCAAAGGGAATGCTTCCAGCTTTTGCCCATTCGATATGGTGTTGGCTGTGGGTTTTAAATATCTCTTATTATTTTGAGATACATTCCATCAATACCTAGTTTATTGAGAGTTTTTAGCATGAAGGGCTGTTGAATTTTGTCGAAGGCCTTTTCTGCATCTATTGAGATAATCATGTGGTTTTTGTCATTGGTTCTGTTTAAGTGATGGATTACATTTATTAATTTGTGTACGTTGAACCAGCCTTGCATCCCAGGGATGAAGCCCACTTGATCATGGTGGATAAGCTTTTTGATGTGCTGCTGGATTTGGTTTGCCAGTATTTTATTGAGGATTTTGGCACTGATGTTCATCAGGGATATTGGTCTAAATTTCTCTTTTTTTGTTGTGTCTCTGCCAGGCTTTGGTATCAGGATGATGTTGGCCTCATAAAATGAGTTAGGGAGGATTCCCTCTTTTTCTATTGATTGGAATAGTTTCAGAAGGCATGGTACCAGCTCCTCTTTGTACCTCTGGTAGAATTCAGCTGTGAATCCATCTGGTCTTGGACTTTTTTTGGTTGGTATGCTATTAATTATTGCCTCAATTTCAGAACCTGTTATTGGTGTATTCAGAGATTCAACTTCTTCCTAGTTCTGTCTTGGGAGGGTGTGTATGTCCAGGAATTTATCCATTTCTTCTAGATTTTCTAGTTTATTTGCATAGAGGTGTTTATAGTATTCTCTGATGGTAGTTCATATTTCTGTGAGATTGGTGGTGATATCCCCTTTATCATTTTTATTGAGCATATTTGATTCTTCTCTCTTTTCTTCTTTATTAGTCTTGCTAGCAGTCTATCTATTGTTGATCTTTTCAAAAAACCACCTCCTGGATTCATTGATTTTTGGAACGGTTTTTTGTATCTCCATCTCCTTCAGTTCTGCTCTGATCTTAGTTATTTCTTGCCTTCTGCTAGCTTTTGAATTTGTTTACTCTGGCTTCTCCAGTTCTTTTAATTTTGATGTTAGGCTGTTGATTTTAGATCTTTCCTGCTTTCTCTTGTGGGCATTTAGTACGATAAATTTCCCTCTACATACTGCTTTACATGTGTCCCAGAGATTCTGGTATGTTGTTTCAAAGAACATATTTATTTCTGCCTTCATTTCATTTTTTATCCAGTAGTCACTCAGGAACAGGTTCTTCAGTTACCATGTCATTGTGTAGTTTTGAGTGAGTTTCTTAATCCTGAGTTCTAATTTGATGGCACTGTGGTCTGACAGACAGTTTGTTGTGATTTCTGTACTTTTACATTTGCTGAGGAATGTTTCACCTCCAATTATGTGGTCAATTTTAGAATAAGTGTGATGTGGTGCTGAGAAGAATATATATTCTATTGAGTTGGGGTGGAGAATTCTGTAGATATCTATTTAGGTCCATGTGGTGCAGAGCTGAGTTCACATCCTGGATATCCTTGCTAAACTTCTGTCTCATTGATCTACTATTGAGATTGGGGTGTTGAAGTCTCCCATTATTATTGCATCGGAGTCTAAGTCTCTTTGTAGGTCTCTAAGGACTTGCTTTATGAATCTGGGTGCTCCTGTATTAGGTGCATATATATTTAGAATAGTTAGCTCTTCTTGTTCAATTGATCCCTTTACCATTATGTAATGACCTTGTCTCTTTCGATCTTTGTTGGTTTAGTCTGTTTTATCAGAGATTAGGATGGCAACCCCTGCTTTTTTTGCTTTCCATTTGCTTGGTAGATCTTCCTCCATCCCTTTATTTTGAGCCTATGTGTGTCTCTGCATGTGAAATGGGCCTCCTGAATACAGCACACTGATGGTTTTGACTGTTTATCCAATTTGCAAGTCTGTGTCTTTTAATTGGGGCATTTTGCCCATTTACATTTAATAGTGTTATGTGTGAATTTGATCCTGTCATTATTATGTTTGCTGGTTACTTTACCCCTTAGTTGATGTAATTTCTTCATAGTGTAGATGGCCTTTGCAATTTGGCATGTTTTTGCAGTGGCTGGTACTGATTGTTCATTTCCATGTTTATTGCTTCCTTCAGGACCTCTTGTAAGGCAGGCCTGATGGTGACAAAATCTCTCAGCATTTGCTTGTATGTAAAGGATTTTATTTATCCTTCACTTATGATGCGTAGTTTGGCTGGATATGAAATTCTGGGTTGAAAATTCTTTTCTTTAAGAATGTTGGATATTGGCCCCCACTCTTCTGGCCTGTAGGGTTTCTGCTGAGACATCCGCTGTTAGTCTGATGGTTTTCTCTTTGTGGGTAACCCGACCTTTCTCTCTGGCTGCCCTTAACATTTTTTCCTTCATTTCAACCTTGGTGAATCTGACAATTATGTGTCTTGGAGTTGCTCTTCTCGTGGAGTATCTTTGTTGTATTCTCTGTATTTCCTGAATTTGCATGTTGGCCTGCCTTGCCAGGTTGGGGAAATTCTCCTGGATAATATCCTGAAGAATATTTTCTAACTTGGTTCCATTCTCCCTGTCACTTTCAGGTACACCAATCAAATGTAGATTTGGTCTATTCACATAGTCCCATATTTTTTGGAGGCTTTGTTCATTTCTTTCTACTCTTTTTTCTCTAATCTTGTCTTCTCACTTTATTTCATTAATTTGATCTTCAATCACTGATATCCTTTCTTCCACTTGATTGAATCAGCTATTGATGCTTGTGCATGCGTCACGAAGTTCTCATGCTGTGGTTTTCATCTCCATCAGGTCATTTAAGGTCTTCTTTACACTATTTATTCTAGTTAGCCATTCATCTAACCTGTTTTCAAGAGTTTTAGCTTCCTTCCAGTGGGTTAGAACATGCTCCTTTAGCTCAGAGAAGTTTGTTATTACCGACCTTCTGAAGCCTACTTCTGTCAATTCATCAAAGTCATTCTCTGTCCAGTTTTGTTCTGTTGCTGGTGAGGAGCTGCGATCCTTTGGACAAGAAGAAGTGCTTAGGTTTTTGGAATTTTCATCTTTTCTGCTCTGGTTTCTCCCCATCTTTGTGATTTTATCTACCTTTGGTCTTTGATGTTGGTGACCTACAGATGGGGTTTTAATGTGGATGTCCTTTTTGTTGATATTGATGCTATTCCTTTCTGTTTGTTAGTTTTCCTTCTAACAGGCCTCTCAGCTGCATGTCTGTTGGAGTTTGCTGGAGGTCCACTCCAGACCCTGTTTGCCTGGGCATCACCAGCAGAGGCTGCAGAAGAGCAAGTATTGCTGCCTGATCCTTCCTCTGGAAGCTTCATCGCAGAGGGGCACCCACCTGTATGAGGTATCTGTCGGCCCCTACTGGGAGATGTCTCCCAGTCAGGCTATACGGGGATCAGGGGCCCCCTTAAGGAGGCAGTCTGTCCATTCTCAGAGTTCCAACACCATGCTGGAAGAACCACTTCTCTCTCAGAGCTGTCAGACAGGGATGTTTAAGTCTGAAGAAGTTGTCTGCTGCCTTTTGTTCAGCTATGCCCTGTCCAAAGAGGTGGAGCCTATAGAGGCAGTAGGCATTGTTGAGCTGTGGTGGGCTCCACCCAGTTTGAGCTTTCTGGCTGCTTTCTTTACCTACTGAAGCCTCAGCAATAGCAGACCCCCCTCCCTCCACCCGGCTGCAGCCTCTCAGGTCAATCTCAGATTGCTGTGCTAGCAGTGAGCAAGGCTCCATGGGCGTGGGATCCACTGAGCCAGACATGGGAGGGAATCTCCTGGTCTGCTGGTTGCTAAGACCATGGGAAAAGCACAGTATTTAGGCAGAAGTGTACCATTTTTCCAAGTACAGTCTGTCACAGCTTCCCTTGGATAGGTAAAGGAAATCTCCTGACCCCTTGCATTTCCCGGATGAGGTGACACACTGCCCTGCTTCAACTCACCCTCTGTGGGCTGCACCCACTGTCCAACCAGTGCCAATGATGATGAACCAGGTACCTCATTTGGAAATGCAGAAATCACCTGTTTTCTGTGTTGGTCTCACTGGGAGCTGCAGATCGGAGCTGTTCCTATTCGGCCATCTTCTATCCACTAACCTTCAAATTCTCACACCCGGAGGTTAGTTTCAGAAGATCATAGAATTTGTCATTGTGTTCAGGTACTTAGTATCTCATCTTTAAATAATAAAAAAGCATTGTCTGACACTGTTTTAAAACTATATTTAGAAATACCAAGAATTTAATAGCCAAGATAACTTTGAAAAAGAACAAAGGTTGAGGATTTACATGATTAAACATCAAAACTTGGTATAAAGCTAAAGTAAATCAAATAGTAAGGTATTAGAACAAGCATGGACACCTAGAATAATAAAACAGAAAACAGATCAGAAACAGACCTTTCTATATACAGTCACCTGATTTTTGACAAAAGCACTACTACAATTTAGTGTGAGGAATGGCCTTTTCAATAAAAGGTGCTGGATCAACTGGATATCTATGAGGAAAAATTTATTTTGACCCCTCCTCAAACCCTATACAAAAGTGAGTTTGTGATTTGAAAAAATCACATCAACTAGATCTGAGACCCTGCTGAGAAATGTAAAATAATGTAACCTCTTAAAAAAGAATGTAGGACATTATTTTTATAATGTTGGGATAGGCAATGATTTTCCAAATTGTACATAACTATAACTAACCATAATTGATAAATTAAACTTTCATAAAATTAACAATTTCTGTTCATCAAAAGACACCATTTAGAGAGTGAAAAGCCAAGCCACACACTGGGGAAAATTACTAAAAATACAAAAATTAGCCGGGTGTGGTGGCACACACCTGTAATCCCAGCTACTTGGGAGGCTGAGGGGAGAATCGATTGAACTCGGGCAGCAGTGGTTGCAGTAGCCGAGATTGCACCATTGCACTCCAGCCTGGGAAACAAGAGTGACACTTGATCTCAAAACAACAAGAACAAAAAAGACTTAGCACTTATTACGTAGTCATTGCTTCCATTTGTGTATATTGACATATACACAAATGAAATACATATTACATTTATAGTAATATGTATTTCAATACATATTACTATATATGTAATTTTATATATAAATTAAAATTTATATATAATAAATTTTTACTTATATATTTAATAAATATATGTAATTATATATATTTGTATATATACAAATATATAATATTAATACATTTATTATATTATATATAATAAATGTATTATTGCTGCTATCTATAAACACACACTGTGTTGCTATTACTCCTGTAATCCCAGATGGGAAGGGATTTACTGTGAGAAAGTTGAACCTCAACTGGAAAAGTATATGGTTTTGGGGTTTTGTTTGTTTGGGTTGTGGAAAAATAGATGTCAGAAAACAAAGTGGATATCAAGATACTAGAACAGTAAGAATTTAGGTCTGGGTCTGGAAACGACATTCGAACATCAATATGTAATAGTAGTTCATGTCCAAAACTCACAAGTGAGATTATCAAACTCCAGGGGAGTCTATTAATGTGGCCATAAAATCTACCCCATAATTTTGACATAATTTTTCCAGCCCAAAATACAACTGACATCATCTTATGGGTCCGGAAGTGCCATACACCAAGCAAAATTTCTACCGGAGAAATAACACCGTGATCGTTTGGGGAGCAGCCTGACCAGTGTTCCCTGAGTTACGCCGACCGCCCCCAACCATCCTTCTCACCTAATTATTACCAGGTCAGGAAGATGTCCTGCTGCACGCTCAGGCGGTCACTCCTCCTTTCCACAAGGCCCATGTCCGCACCGTTCGCCCCGGGGCTCCCATGGCCCCCGACCTCCAGTCTCCGGCAACGATGGACCCTCACAGACACGGCAGGGAGCGAAGGGCGCACACTCACCTCCCTGGAGTCAGTGGGAATAACCCCGGGCGCTCTGAGGGTAGGTCCCACACCCGGAGCCGCACGGGCCCATCCCCGCCAGGTCCGGGCAGGCAGCCCGAGCCCGGGACCCCGCCTCCCCCGCACCTAGGGTCCGGGCCGAGCTTGGCAGCTGAGGTCCCGCTCCCACTCCCACTCCCAGCGCCTCCCCCTGGCGGCGGCGGCCGCCTGGGAGGCCCCTCCCCGGGCGCTGCCTCCTCAGAGGGTGACGGCCGCCTGGCCGGGCCGGACAGAGGCCGGCCCCTCTTCCAGCTCCTCCTCACCCCCCGGAGGAGACGGGGGACGGGGATGGGGTTCTAACCAGGCAGCAGGACACAGCAAGGCCAGCCACGGCACAGCCTCCTCCTCCACCATCTCACCAGGCTCCCTGCCAGGGCCGGCGCAGGGCAGCGCCTGAGCTACTAGGGAGTCTGGTCCGGCTGCTGCTCCGCCGCCGCCGCCGCCTTCTCACAGCCACAACAACACTGCAGCAGCGACCACACAGAGCGCGCTCCCGACGCCGAGCCGGGCGACGAGCGGGGACGCGCTCGCACGCTCGGGCGCTGAACCCGGTGTCCGGGGAAGGGGGCGGGTCTCCGCGGGTTGGACGGGGGCGGGGCCTGGACAGGTGGTCACGCCCCAGGAGATGGGCGGGGCTGCAGCCCAGACGAATACCTGCGGCTGGGGAGAGGCTCGCGAAAAAGACGAGCGGAGGCAGAAGGGCTAGACAGATGGGAATTGGGCGCAGGAAAAGCGATGACAAAAAAAATATCTGGAAGAAAACCAAAGGTGGTCCTACAAATTTTTAGGAGGCGTCTTTCCCTGGGGAAGACATGGCTCACTCTACTTACCAGAAAAATAGAACAACAGTGGTATCTTTCACCTGCAATTGTGGTCAGGATAAAACCAGTTTAATATAGTGCAAGTAAATGTAGTGTTTTAGAAGATGTATTCAGAATACAATTTCGTTTTTTCTTTTCTTTTTTTTTTTTCTTTTTTTCTTTTGAGACAGAGTCTGGCTCTGTCTCCCAGGCTGGAATGCAGTGACATCTCAGCTCACTGCAAACTCCGCCTCCTGGGCTCAAGCGATCCTCCCACCTCAGCCTCCTGAGTAGCTGGGACTACAGGCGCAGAACATCATGCCCGGCTAATTTTTGTATTTTTTGTAGACATGGAGTTTCTGCCATTTTGTCCAGGCTGGTCTCGAACTCCTGGGCTCAAGCAATCCACCCACCTCGGCCTCCCAAAGCACTGGGATTACAGGCATGAAGCACCGCACTCGATCCAGAATACAATTTCAAACTGATTCAACTTCAGCTCCTAATCAAAAGCTTAGCGGGAAGAAGTGAATTTTCAAACAAAATAAAGCCCTCCCCCCAAAATTGTAACCTACCCACACTAGCCTGCGGAATTCCACAAACCAGGATTGCATTACCGTAGGCCCTAACAGATTCACCTCTGAGTTGCCTTTTAACATTCTACCCTTGATTTTTCTGGAAACTGGGAGAACTAGTCAAATGAAATCTATTCCTGCATCTGTTGTAAAGTTTTTCCACAGCACTTTCTGAAATTTATTTTCAATGTTTATTGTTTTTTCACTCCACTTAGAATGTAAAAGCTACTTGAAGATGAGGATCTTGTTTGTCTTGTTCATCACTATTTCCCCAGCACCTGAAACTGTGCAGGCTAAGTAGTAGGCAGTCGGATTTCTTGATAGCTGGCTGGGCGCAGTGACCCACGGCTGTAATCCCAGCACTTTGAGAGGCTGAGGCGGGTGGATCACCAGAGGTCAGGTGTTCGAGACCAGCCTGGCCAATATGGTGAAAACCCGGATCTACTAAAAATGCAAAAATTAGCCGGGCATGATGGCAGGCGCCTGTAATCCCAGCTAATTGGGAGGCTGAGGCAGGAGAATAGCTTGAACCCGGGAGGCGGAGGTTGCCATGGGCCAAGATTGCGTCACTGCACTCCAGCCTGGGTGCAGAGCGAGACTCTGTCTCAAAAAAATAAATAAAATAAAATAACAGCTAACACTTATTCATACAACTCATCTAATTGAATCTTCACAACTTTAATAGGTAGACGCCGTTATCTCCATGTTACAGATGAAGAAAGTGAAGCACAGAATAAATTGCACGTATTAAAATTCAAACCCAAACCCAGAAGACAAACAAAACAAAACAAAACAAAAAAAACCACTGTGCTCTCACCCACCAGGCTGTACTGCCCAGTGCATGACACAGTAGCCTGAAATAAAATCTCAAGTAAGAAATTACTTTAGGCTGGGCGCAGTGTCTCATGCCTGAAATCCCAGCACTTTAGGAGGCCAAGGTGGGTGGATTGCTTGAACTCAGGAGTTCCAGACCAGCCTACGCAACATGGCAAAATCCCACCTCTACAAAAAATACCAAAAAACTGGCCAGGCATGGTGGTGCGTGCCTGTAGTCCCAGCTATTTGAGAGGCTGAGGTGGGAGGATGGCTTGAGCCTGGGAGGCAGACGTTGTAGTGAGCCCTGATTGTGCCACTGCACTCCAACTGGGTGTCAGAGCGAGAAAAAAGAAAGAACAAAAGAAATTACTTTAGAGGTAAATTCTTGGAAAGCCCTTGCTTTACTACCAGGAAAACCAGCGCGCTTCCTGCTTTTTGATAACTCTTATGCAGCTGATTGTGTCTCTCTTTTCACTCTGGCTTCCAGAAAGCCCAGGGCTAAATGACCAGGGCTCAGCAATGACCTCTGCTTGGCCCTTAAGGTCCACTCCTGCCTCAACTTTGCACCTTTATTTATATGTGGCTGTCCTGATTTTCCCTTTCTGTTGTATGACTGTAGGCTTTATGGAATGGGAGAAGAAATAGTAGATACATAAAATTGATGAATGACTTAAAGTCTTTTATTTTATTTTTTGAGACGGAGTTTCGCTTTTGTTGCCCAGGCTGGAGTGTAATGGCGGGAACTTGGCTCACTGCAACCTCCACCTCCTGGGTTCAAGCGACTCTCCTGCCTCAGCCTCCTGAGTAGCTGGGATTACAGGCATGAGCCACAACACCAGGTTAATTTTTTGTATTTTTAGTAGAGACAGCGTTTCTCCATGTTGATCAGGCTAGTCGCCAACTCCTGACCACATGTGATCCGCCTGTCTCGGCTTCCCAAAGTGCTGGGATTACAGCCGTGAGCCACCATTCCTGGCTCATTTTTATTTTTATATTTTATTTTATTTTATTTTCACACAAGGCCTCACTCTGTTGCCCAGGCTGGAGTGCAGTGGCTCACAGCCACCAGGTGAGTTGGGCCCACAAGTCACCCTTGCTAAGAGGCAGAGTCCAGAGCAGGACATGGGTAGATGCCAAAGGCAGCACTCCCTACTCCACACATGGGTTTCTTTCAAGTAAATCACCAGCCAGGTGAGGTGCATACAGCATCTCGGGAGATGGGACACCATATTGTCCCCTCCTTCAGCCAGGAGGCCCCACACTGAGCGCCACTGCCTCCACTGTCCGTTGCTACAGGAGAGACGTTTCCTGCTGGTTAAGGAAGTGGAAACTGCAGATCACTTTTCATCTTATTGGAAATCACTCTTTGACACTTTTGCCTCATCTTCACTCAGTACACATTGACTCTACCAGCAATGGTGTAAAAATAAACACAGCTTAAGGAAATAGGAACCCTTTATTCCTGGGACTTAAAAGCTTGACTTTCTCCAGTAAGTCAATTACCAGTGTCCATGGCAGGAACAGCTCTGATGCCAGGGTTGACAGCACACTGGAAAACAGGAGGGTGTTTGCATTTCTGGGGCCTCAAGTAATGAGAGGTTCTTCCAAGAACACTGACAGGGGTATTGTTGCCCTATTTTAGAATTATTACTGTGAAGATCAGGGAATTTCAGTCGGTTGAACTCATGCCACAGCACCTGTGCTTTTCCAGTAGGGGAGGGATGGAGTCCAGGGCAGGGGTCCCCCGTCATGGGGGAAAGCACTGTGATGGGATGGCTGTGGGGGAATTAGAACCCTATAGCAGATGGGATAGGGTGGGGAGTCTACATATTTTTATTTGGATGCTTTGATGGAGTAAAGTTCCAAACCAAGCAAGTATCAGGCAGAGGGCAGTCCAGGCTGTGGTGCTGTGCTGTGAGGCTGGGAGTCCAGGCAGGTCCTGTGTTCACTGGTCACTTCCACAGCCTGAAGCCCCTCGAAAGGACATCTGCACAGAGGCCTGCAAGTGACTTCAGGATGCTGATGATGCCCTCAAGGTGAGAGCCAGAGAAAATCCCATCAACTCTGCCAATCAAGGGCATCAATGGCCACGTGTGTGGTTTTCTCCGGCAAAGAACAAGCCAGTTTGCAAACCATGCTTTTGAAGCTAGAAAAAATGTCTGTATTCCTTCAGTGTCTCCTGAAGGCTGGGTCCCCTGAGAGTTGATTCAAATACCGTATTCTCGTATAAAATATGGTAACATTTAGACCTGAAAAATGGCCTGGGGGATAATCTTATCAAACCTCTGATGTGGTTATTTTCTAACTGAGTATATTGAAGGCTGGGGAACAAAGCCATCTGGTGCCAGCATCCTAGCTGCTCTCTCTCCTCCAGGGGCTTGCCTTGGTTTGGGGCCTTTCCAGCAAAATTAGGCTGGAGAAATGAGATTTTAGTTAAACAAGGCCCACTGTTGCTTTAAAACAAAATGTCAAAGTTTTTAAAAATGTATTAACTAGTTCTTTTGGCCAAGAAATCAATAGATGCACTTCCTTTCCACTGTGCAGGCTCTGAGCTGACAGAGGAGTAAGAGCTTGAACCATCTACGTGGTCTGAGTGACCACATCCTTCACTCAGAGCCCTGTTCTACAGCAGATAATTCTGAGTCACCCCAGCTAATGGCCGTGCACAGCATCCTGATGCTCTGATTAGGCTGAAGGGCATGTGGCGTGGTGGCTAGGCTGTCTCAGAGAGCACCTCAGGCTGGGTGGACCAGGCTGACCCAGAAAAAGGCAATGGGCCTTTGACAGGGACTAGCTGGCTACTATCTGCCTCTTCTGCAGTTTGGGACACTTAGGGTGATGGGTGAAAGTGTTTTTCCATATATAGTGGACCGAAAGGAAAGGATACTCATGCCAGTGTTCAGAAAGTGTGTGGGTTTCTCAGGTAACATTACTGCAGCCACTGATGTCTAATCCAAAGAGCTCTGAATGCTTGCTATAGAGATTTGTAGTTTTAATACTGAAGCCCCGAATATTCTGATTTCCTCATTAAGACCGACCTAACATGAGCTATGTAGTCAGCTAAGGTATCAACGGAAGGAAATTGCCAGTGGTTTCCCTCTTATTTTCCTCTGAGGTCATCTGAAAACAACTGCAGTGAGGACAGAGTTCGTGTGGCACTGATGGCTGTGTGTTCCCAGGTCCAAGCATGCACTAAATATTTAATTCATTTGAATATAAATAAGTTAATAAATATGAATACATTAATAAATTAATTGGCATATTTTTAGTCCTGTTGCAGTTTCAAACTCACCGATTTGTCCAACTTCTTTGCACTGAGTTCTTATTCAAGTGAAGTATTCCAGTCTTGTGACTAGTACTTCTGACATAGTAATAGTAACAACTAATATTTATTTAGAACTTTAGTTTACCAAGCACACTACATTTTATTTTATAATTTATTATTTATTTATTTATTTTTTTTTTTAGTAGAGACAGGGTTTCACCATGTTAGCCAAGATGGTCTCGATCTCCTGATCTCGTGATCCGTGCTCCTCGGCCTCCCAAAGTGCTGGGATTACAGGCGTGAGCCACCGCACCCAGCCTACATTTTATTTTTACATTTTGTCTTTACAAACCCCCACGGGGCAGGCATTCTCCTTACACACAGTGTTAATTGGTGACACAGAGGCTCAGGGGTTTAAATGGTTTCACTGCAAGCAATGTAATCTAGTAGGATGTTGCTTTCCTATTTTTCCTAATACTACCATGTTTAGATGTGGGCGGCTGAGTGGGAGTATATGATTTCCTGTGTATGTATAGATGTAACCCACACTCACAGGCGGAAAGTTCTGCAGGCTGAGAAGCGAAGCCCTTTGCTGAACAACCACCACCAACATTCTAGGATCCCCACACCCTTGGTTCTGCAGGCTACACCCCTCCCATCTGCTTAGAACCAGAAAGAAAACTCTGCCTCTGCGGTTACTTTTCCCTTTCACAATAAACCGTGGTTCTCTTCAACGTTCTCCTGGGGACTTGGGTCACTGTTCCCCCACGCAAATGTTAGCCAGGCCGAGAGTTATTTTTTCCCCTACCCCTGCAGATTGATCATGGCACGCAGCTGCCCCATACTGTATTTTGGTCACCCCCATCAGCATCCCATCTGCTGCTTGTGCCTCTGGCCAGCTTCTTGCATGGTTCTGACATGGTGCTGTCACTCTCACATTATTTGCACACATTGTTTACCTATAGCTGGACACATTGTTCATAGGAGCCCAGCTGGTAAGGTAAAAATATTCCAAGACTGTGCTGATAAGCTACTTCTTCCCTGCATCCTGGGCTGGTGAGAAGCTAAAGAGGAATGAATGCTCTGCCTGTGAAGAGGCCGCACTGCAGAGAGGAGGAGGCAGAGATGCAGTCGTCACAGCCCCAACACCCTGCCTGGACCTGGTTTTGTAGATCCAGGGAAGAGTTTTGCACAAATTCTCACTGGGAGCATTGTCAGGGCTGCAGCACATCACTCTTTTTTGACCTGAGTCATTTTAACATTAGCTCTAATGCCAAAAAAGATGAAATTGAAGTTGCCAACATCTGGTGGAAGGCAAAAACCAGCGAATTTCTACCCAGGGAGAGTTCCTCTGCAGGGCCCCTGCTCCTGGTGGCCTGGAGTTGGGGAGGCCTCTGGAGCAAGTCAGGGGATGGGATTCTGGGTTTTCTTCCATTTTAGTATTTTCCTATTTTGACATCTTTGAAAAATGGCTCAGCCTCATGGTGTATGGGTCTTCTGATTGCTTTTGTCTTGATTTTATTCTGACTGAGGGGCAATGGCCACTGTGGGCTCCTCATCCAGGATGAAGAGGGCCCCTCCATGGCCTGGGTCCATCCATGCTGTTCACGGTGGCCTCATGGATCATCATACAAAGGATGATCTCAGTGATGAGCTTGAGCCTTTGCAAAATTAAATTATATGGGTTTATAAGATGCTTGCCTCAGGATCAGTGACATCAGGCCTGTCCCTGCTGCTAGCAAGGCCAACTTTATAATGTGCTATCATGGTGGTAAAGGCATCACCCACTTGATGGAGATCCCAAAGACCAGCTCTACTCAAGACAGATTTAAGCTAAGTTGCCTGGGAGTCCCTGGTGCTTTTTCAAGGTTCTACTGAAGACAATGCCATCATCCAGGTATCTCTGAATGCCTACGTAGCTCTTGCCTCAGGAGCTCTGAGACCCCATGTTATCTATTTTTGAATTGGCCAAGGCCCCTGGCCAGGAAAGGGATGCTCTTCCCATCCTTGTCAGCCCTCGTGTCTTGTATTCCACCCCACAGCCTCCTAGCAAGCATCTCAGTGTCTGCAGGTGAGCATGGCTGAGTTCAGTCTTGCTTACTGCAACTATAGACATGAGGCCTGTGGAACTAAGAATCCTCTCATTTGCTGACTGGCATTTTGTTTAAGTCCCAGATCACTAATCTCTGGCAAGACAGTCCTCTTTGTGTTTCCTGGTGATGGACTTGAGTGATTTCAATGTAAACAGTGGCTCCACCTGGGAGGGTATCCCCTTCCCACGGGGAGGGGGTGCATAGCCCCTGCGAGGTTTCTGCTGTCGTCTCATCCTCCCACTGGGCTTTTCCCCTGCAGATGGCCTGGTGCCCACACTGCCTGCAAATGGCCACTCTTGCTTGTCCCAACCCCACCTTCACTGCAGCTTCCCAGAGCCCTAGAAGGGCCGGGCCCTGGCTGAGCACTATTCCTAGGCCCTGGATGGCGGGTGTGGAACTATGTACTTGTCAAGGTCATTTCCTCTTCTATTTTCATCATATTAAGTAAATCCCTCTCTCATCATGAAATGCCCTGGAGAGAACAGATGCATGGCTGTGGAGTCTTGTTCTGGGATATGTCAGGTATGGGCTCAGGTGTGTGGAGGCTACAAGGGGTGGACAGGAATGGTCTTTCTCTCACTGTGAATTGCATGTTTTGTGCCAGCCCAAGGGTTCTGTGGAGGAGAATCAGCTGTTCACCTGGCTGAGTCTAACCCTGGGATGGTGACAGCCAAAACCCCAGCTCCATTCCATGACCTTCCCTAGGCTGCCGCATGGGTTCCCTGGCACTGTCACTGGGCTAATGCATTCTATCTCCTCCTGGGATGAGGCCAGCCTTTAGTCATAGTTTCTGCCCATTCCACATCATTCTGCCTCCCACCCTTGGCTTTTTCAAAAATCCGATCCAAGCGTGTGCAAGGGGGCTAGAAACATGCTGTCCACAGGGAGCTAAAATACACTAAGTTGAGAAACCAGCAGCACATGCTTTGGAGCTCTCACACCTTCTGGGAACTGAAAAGCAAACTCTCAGAGATGCCTGGAAATCTTGGGAGCACACGAGGTCTCTGCATATATTTCAGCTGCAGATGAGTTTCTAGTCAAAGTAAAAAACACACGAAGGGCATTCACGTTTCCAGGAACAGAAGCATCCTGTTTGGTTTTTCAGAGGTGAAGGGAGCAGTCTGAAGGGGCCGTGGCATAGGTGTGTCTACAATCAAAGCTCACAGCCAAGGCCCTGGGGGAGGTTCAGGTGTGCCCCAGGGGGTGCGCCCCATCCAGCACTCCACTGACAGGGGCCTTGTCTTTATTAAATTCTAGGCCTTTTCCTGGGCACTAGTTACAAAAGGGGGGTTCAATGAACCCTAGGTTCTGTGGCTGCCACCCATCTCAGGGTTGCACAGGTAATGATCACCACCCCCTCCACCTTCTGCTGAGGGTCCTGGTGACCCCCTGGTGGTGTAACCCAGGCCCTCACCCCTAAGGGGCCCTCAGCCTTGCCCACCACAGAGTCCTTGGTCTAGGGCTCCCGCACTTGTCCACATGCCATCAAGTGCTGTGTACCAGGAGGTACTTGCGTGGAGCCCTTTCTTCCCAGGCAGCGCAGCCCTGCTCCTGCTGACACCATGGTCCAGGTGGTACCCATTTTTCTGCCCGCAGGTCCCATGGAGGAGCAGCCTGAGGACAAAGCAGCACCCAGAGCTTGTTTTTTTCAGAGAACCTGGCCCTGCCCTGGCTAGAAGCCCCACAGCTGTGGAAACCAGGACCTCCTGCTTTTCAGAGCCTAGATGTGCAGGATATAGATGCACCTCAGAGGTCCTGGGTATGATGTGGAAGGTTGGGGGACACTGGGCTTCCTACTGCTGTGCTCCAATTGCCACATCTTCTACCTGGTGGGACAAGGCAGCTAACAAAGGTGACAGATTCATGCAGACACTGTGTCCTCCCACATCCTGACCTGGCACCTGTGCCACACTGCTGGGTCTGAAGCTCCCAGGAGCATGTGTGTGCTGTGACCAGTGGACCTATGGCATGTGCCCTCTTCCTCCCTCTGTGGCGTGAAATCAGTTCCTCTGATGGTGTCATGTGAGGTCTTGTCCTGATGGGTAGAACTTTCTATAAACCATCCCATGGCCCCGGGGAAAGGCAAACTCATCCCTTCAGGTTTAGCTGTTTCTGTTAAATGCAACCCTGTCCTTCCCAGGGCATCAGGTCCCAGTGCAGTTGTCCCAGCCTGGCAGGAACTCTCCTTGAGGATTGTGTGGAGGGCGCAGCCTGGGCCTGACTCATGACCCTGGCAAAGGGCAGGTGAGCCCTGGGGCTGACCACCTGCACTTTCTGTTTGGTGGTGGGAGACGTGGGGCAATATTTCTTGCCTTTCCTTTAGAGAGCATCTCCCAGCCTGCCCAGACCATTAGACCCCTAGAAATGTGACTTGTAGGCAGGGCCTGGCTCTCCGTGGTGCTTTTCTCTCCCCTCCAAGCACCTGTGACTCTCAGGCATCCAGCCCTGCTGGCTTCCCCCATCTGAGCTCCTGATGCAGGGTGAGGACTGTATTGTGGCAGACAGCATGCCGGTTTACACAGTTCTGGGAGAAAACTATAGGTATACATTATTTTATGTCCCAAGTAAATGAATCCCATTTATCGATACTTTTTTTGGCACAGAGGGAAGAAATGCATTGGTGAGATCCATGGGCCAGAGTTCAGGCCTGTGCTCAGGCTCTGGCAGCAGCTGTGCAGCTCTGGAGCTGTTGCGGAGTGGGGAGGTGCTGTGTCTTTGCTCCCGGGTTAAAGGCTTTATTTGTTTCTTTGTTCAGTTTGTTTTCTTTGACCCCTGTTCAGCAATACTGAAAATCAAGCATTCCTAAGAGGTGGAGACACGGCTTTGGAGCAGGGGTGGGCCATTGGGTGGAAATGGAAAATAGGTTGATAGTGGGAATTTCATTTTCTGGAGCACATGTGCAGCCTCTTGATGGCCTCGTCACAAGTTCACCTGATGACGTGAGTGGCCACTGTCCTTCTCCTGATCAGGTTGCATGCTTGCCACGCACATGAGCAGTGCATGCTCACATTCTTCAAAGTGAACGAACTAAGAAGGATTTGTCAGCAGATTGTAAGCCTGAAGCTGCCAGTGTTTGGTCCACAGTAAACCACATGTGGAGAGCTTAAAAAAATGCCCTCAAATCTGGCAAGAAAATGACAATAATAAATTAAATTATTACCGTAATACACATTTCTTTAGTTACAATTAGATGTATTACACATATAACTAACAATTTTGCAGAAGTTTCTCATCTACCAGTATTTATTTATTTTTTTATAAGTTTCCAAGGAACCCTAATGATGGGGAGTGTCTCTTTTAAAATTAAATTTTGTAAATAACTCCCAGAGCCATACTGGTAAGAAACAAAACAAAACTAAAAGAACTAGAAACGTGAACAAACATTGGATTTCTGCTGGAAAAAAGGTTGCAAAGCAGGCCTGCCTGCTGCACTTCCCCAGAGCTAATCCTTGAGCCGAAAGAGCTTTCTGGTGAAGCCTCGCACTCTCTGTAACAGGGTGTGGGGGGCACCAAGACATGCGGGCTCCAGACTTGACCATCTTTACCTACTCATGGGATTTCAATCTTGTCTTTTAAATTCTTTGAGCTGCAGTTTTCACATATGTAAAGTGAAAGTATTTTTAAAATTGTAATTTGTGTTATGGCCTTGTATAAAGATAAAATAGTACATTTGAAAGCATTTTAGCTGAAGTCAAACGTTCACGTGTGTGCATGCAATGGCTTCTTAATTATTTTAGGGCTTAACCTGGTTTCACTAGTACTGTTACTAGCACTGCTACTTCTCCATGTCTCTGAAGACTATGAAATACTTAGAACTGAAGCAACAAGAAGCACCTGTCAAAGGGTTCTATGGCCGATGACAGATTTGACACAACTGGATATAATAATATGTTAGATGGTACCCAGAGATGCTGTTCAAAGTCAAAAGTGTCCCTAGAATTCTGAACCTGCTGAAGCAGCCTTCAGAACTGAAGTTGAGAAAAGTACATTTTCAGTTAAAGAAAGTCTGTGAGACTGTGTTGCCATCGAACCCAAACCACGATAAATGCAAAAGAAACTTGATCAGGATGAAGAAAAATAATAATTGGAAATTCTAGTTCACAGAAAAGATGAAAATGTGCCAAAAATAGTAAATATGTGGAGGGGAAATTACTGTTTGGATGACATCCTCCAGGAATTACAACACGTACAGAAGAAAAATCTATGACAACATGGCACAAAAGATGAGAGGATGGTAAGGTAAGGTTTTTATATTTTATATACAGTGTTATGATATTTAATATACATTAAGTATTTATATTTTAATTTCTGAACAACTCACCAAAAATAAATAAATGAAACAAAGTCATAGTTAAAAAAAAAAAAACAGGGTACAAAATCCATACTAAAAAAAAAAAGAAAACCCCATAAAACAAACAAACAAACCAAAACTGCAATAATCCAGAAGAAGATCAGGAAGGCGGAACACAGACTGTCAAAGTAGGTAAAAAGGAAACCTCAATATCCACTTTTAAAAAGAAATACACTTATGAGATAAAGATATAAATAGATTCGAACTGAAAAGATGGACAAATATACACTATGCAATCTTTTTTATCAAAAACTGCAGCCAGTGTATTAATGGCAGGTAAGACACACTGCAAGAAAGGCAAGTATCACCAGGGATAAAGAAGGATGTTTTATACCAATAAGCCCATTTGCTTAGAAAACCTAATAAGCATAAGCATGCATGCACCTAAGAAACACAGCAAAATACATGAAGCAAAAGTTATTGAATTAAAAGGATAAATGCATAAATCCACAATATGACAATTCTAATTATTATATCTCAGAAATCAATAGAAAAAATAACTACAACAATAAGACTACAGGTATTAATAGGAGAGATTATAACCAGAGCACCAGGAGAAAAACAGCAATATCCAATATGCTTACAACTATTGGTTGACAACTCAAAAGTTCCCAAAAGAATTTTTGACACTAAATAAAGGTAAATAGCCTGGAAAGCCTGCAAGCCAGCATAGGAAGGAAGTGGAAAATGAAATGTTGATGGAAAATAAATCTGGAAGTCCGGGCGTGGTGGCTCATGCCTGTAATCCCAGCACTTTGGGAGGCCAAGGTGGGTGGATCACCTGAGGTCGGGAGTTCGAGACCATCCTGACCAACATGGAGAAACTCTGTCTGTACTAAAAATACAAAATTAGCCGGGTATGGTGGTCCATTCCTGTAATCCCAGTTACTTGGAGGCTGTGGCAGAAGAATTGCTTGAACCCAAGAGGCGGAGGTTGTGGTGAGCTGAGATCTCCCCATTGCACTCCAGCCTGGGCAATAAGAGCAAAACTCTGTCCCCCCAAAAAAAGAGAAAAGAAAAGAAATCTGAAAAAAGGAAAAGAGAATTGAGGATAAAGCTTTGCAAATACAAAATCCAAAATCAAATGATAGAAATAAGTTCAAATATATCACTTTTTCCTACCAAACATAGAGGGATTAACCTCATATATTAAAATACAAAATTATCAATAACAAAGCAGCACTTTCAAATTAAAGAAATAAAAAAATAAAAATTTTATAAAAATTTTAAGTAAATATTCACAGAAAGCAAGCTGCTATCACAAAATTAATTTAGTTCAAATAAAATTTAAGGAAGAAATAATAAACAACAGGATAGACACTGCACATGGATGGACAATAGAACCGAGTAGGTGAAGCAACGTCAAGTCCAATGCTGGCCTCGCCTCCAGGACATACAAAGAAACTAACAGGATAGAGCAGGTCTAGAGAGGGACGCTGGAACCCATACTTCTGAATTTAAACGGGAAATAGACAAAGATGTTACGTGTTTATAAAAGGTTTTAAAATCACAACAAATGCTGAATATACGTCACTTTCTAGTATATGTAATACTTACCAAATGGGACACATATTAGGTTGCAAAAGAAATTACAAAAAACTGGAGCTAGCGACCAAAGGACTAAGATAACTCAGAACAAAAAACACGCCCCATATATTTTAGGAAAAAACGGCACAGTGATTTAATGGTAAATCACTATAAACATGAAGGGATTCACCCAGAGTTCAAGACGACAACATGTGTCAGCCTGACTTTCTGAATGACTGCACAGGAAAGGCTGCCATCCAAGGAAGCACAGAAAAGGACACCCCTTAGGTCCTGGATGGAGGAGGATGTTCCCCAAGTCCTGCTTGGAGAAGGTGGCTCTGGGGACCGCATGGGGAAGGATGCCCCTTTTCCAGCCTCCCCATCCATACTTCTCCTGACCTGTTAATGTAGAACAAAGAGATTTGGAGGAAGAAACATGGGACTAAACTTTACTGTTTTCCTTTTAATCAACATTTTATAAATTCTAATTTTTATTTGATAAAAATAAGTGAAATGTATGACATAAACACAGTGTAACAACCGATTAGACCTATTTTTCCAATCTGAGTCCTGGCTACCGGGAGTATTAGTCATTCTACTTTTCTGTATTTGTAAAGCTTCTCAAAATTAAAGATAAAAGAGTTTATTGCTAGTAACATGTATAAATAGACATTGAATAAAATGTGACTCTTTAAAAATTAGTTTATTCTATGGGCTTCTTTTGAAAGGTTATGATGTACTAAAATTACTAGCGGATCTTTATTACAAGCTCACTGGTAAAAATAGACAATGTGGAAATATTCTAATTTGTTAGAAATTAGTGTTGAATGAGTATTAATCAAAACTTTAAAACCAAAGTACATGGACATAAGAATAAATTATTCGACTTAATTATCCACTGACTTTAAATTCTAGTTGCTAAATTTACTTTTTGCCCATTTCACCTCCTTCAAATCTCCAAGTAACTCTTCATTTTTCTCTCCTGTCAATATTTTATTCTCCCTTATTTTTTTTCTATTTCCTGATTTTTTGAACAACTCCAAGGGAGTTGTGTTTTGCTTGTGTCGAATGACATCATTACACCAACCCATTAGGCAACTAGACCCTCATCAAGGTGAGCAATAGGAGACTTCAGACCACAGAGCCTCTCCTGATTTTTGACTCAGGCTACCTGGCAACCGTGTTTAAATTATGAGTTGTTTAATTTTTTAGATCCCCTATAGATAAAGAAGGATTTTAATAATCATCAATTTAAAATGCACTGGGACACTTTATGACTGACATTTCTTGCAGTTTCTGTGCTGCGGCCTCATGAGTCTGTAAGAAACATCCTGTTCCTCATTCTGCCCTTGCTCCTTGGACTCCAAAGGGAAAAGCCAGAAATTCTGTGGATATAAAACATGGAAACATTCATTCTTTAAACAAAAAGGCAGTAAAGCAGAGATGAGAACAGGGAAAGGATGTTATTGAATACATGCAAATGGATAAAATATGAATGATCATGTTCTCATGTTCAACTCAATTTTTAAAAGTGGATGTATGAGCAGTGCCAGCATTTAGTCAGACCATGGTGGGCCTGTGGGCTAGAACAAGAGGCCACACTCAAGGAGAGATGGCACTCACGACGTGGGGCCTCTGCTCCTTTATGACTCCCCTTCTTCAGTGACCCAGAGCACCCTCCTATCACAGCCTGTAGGGAAGAGGAAGGTGTTAGGGCACTTTGAATCACAGCGGAGTGTGTGTCTACATGCTCTCCTCACATGCCACAAATCTGCATCGCTTTACAATATTTCAATAGATTATGAGTAAGGAAGATCGCTGCAGAACCAGTAAAAGCTGCTCTCACAGACGATGCGCTAAATTGGGTTTTACAAAGTATTGTGAGAGATCTCGGGAGATGGGGAGCAACCTGCTCATAGATTTTGCCAAAATCAACATTTAAACACCTCCGTTAGGCAGAAGAGCAGTGCTACTGGAATCAGTTAGCAGCTCTTTCCTGCTGAACATCTCTCAGCCTCCAGACCCTACAGAGAAGAGGCCATGACCTAAAAGCAGTTTAAAATCTTGAAAAATAGAAGCTAAGGATTAAGTGAATATCGAAATTTGGAAAAGGAGAGAAGACTTTATTTCTTGTAGAGGGTTACAGCCTGCAAGGTGGCCACCCCACAGGCTGGGAAGAACAGCCTCCTGCCGAGACCAGCGATGGGCACTTCCAGGAGGAGGGGTTGGGGCAGGAGCTTTGGGGTGAAAGGGTTGGCTAAAGATACACATTCATCAGGTGACAGGCATAACAACATAAAACCAGCTGTAGGTAACACAGAATGATTCTGATACTGATGTTCAATTCCACACACTAACAGACGTGAGAACCTCATTCACTGCATGTGGAGAAGGCACTGTATCTGCTCTGTGCTGGTCCAGATGACTTATATTTATCATTGACTGGGTCTGCATTTTCTCTTCTCTAGATTTTGCTTATCCTGCAAAGCTTGTGCTGGGACTTCATTTCTAAGATTGAGTTTAAGCTGAGCCTCAGAGGCTTTATTGCAGCTACGGTGGATATGGCTTGGTTCCCTGCAGTACTCTCTGGAAAGTACCTTCCTCCGTTTGAAATCCCTGACATGGTACCTCCTACAGCCTGCACAGCTCTGGCCTCTGCCATGGGTCCCATGGCCTCTGCTGCTAAAACTAGAGAGGAGGTTCATCCCCTGCCTCTTTATAGAGAAGAGCCGCTTGCTGACTGAGCTGAAAAGGGACTCCCCACTGAGCAGGCTCACCAGTGTCCCGACAGCCGGGCAGATCATGGGGACGGGGAATTCTGAGCAGACCCTCTTCAGAAATTGAGTCTCAAGGGGCCTTGGGGAACTTGGTCAGCAGATGGCAAGATTTCATCTGTCAGTGGGTGGGTCAGCTTAGTGGGACTCCTGTCTTTGAAACTGAGACTCAAATCTCTACTCTGTACCGAGACAGAGATGGGGGCCAGGAAACAAGACACACAACCATTTTCCATCATCGAGGGGCAAGGCAGGGCTTGGCATGAGGCAGAACCGGGCTCCATCAATGCCACATGTCAGGAGGAACCCCTTTTCTGTTTCAATCCCTCCTGCTCATTTGTGGGAGGCATTAGAGAGGCCTGACATAGTTTTTTTTTTTTTTCTCCACGGCCTGAGGACGTGATAGGATTTCATTCCCACCCCACCTTGTGGTTGGATGGAATCATGCACCCAGTTCTGGTCAAGACCAAGAAACTGAGGTATCAGTTTTCTTTGTGTGGGACCAGGAAAATGGCTCTAATTTGGCTTTGTGTTTGTGCATGTGTGTGAGAACAGACAGGTAAATGTGTGTAATGGAGAGTGTGTGGGTGAGTGTGTACATGTGTGAGAGTGTGTATGTGAGTTATTGTGTGAATGTTTGTGAAGAAATAATGGTGTTTGAACTTGGGAGTATGAGTGTGTATGTGGAATATAACTGCGTGTGGATGTGTAAATATGAGTGCGTATGTGTGTTAATGTGTGTAAGTGTGTGAATAAGCCATGTAAGTGTGGTGTGTGAGCTTGGGCCTATGAGTGTGTGTGAGTGTGTGTGTCTGTGTGAGCATGACAGAGTGTGTGAGTTTGGGGTGGGCGCAGGCCACATCCAGCCCCTCCTGGGGTACTAGATCTTTCCAACCCAAGAACCTCAACTTGTTCTTCCTCACTCCACCCTGAGCTTCCCAGCCAACTGTCTCTCATCCAAACTCCCACAGGGAAACAGAGTCCCTGGGACCAGGGGCTCTGAGCATGGCACAGTGCCAAGTCTCCTCCCTTGCCACCTCCTGAGAACCTGGGTGTAGCACAAAACAGTCAAATATGTTCCTCTTCTGTCATCACTAACTAGAGCTCCACAACTTCCCAGATCGCCCTGTTAGCTCTTCACCATAATTAGCTATTTTCGGATGTCATACTAACATTCCTTAATTATTCCCTCAGAAACAAAGCAAATCCATGGGATGCAGAGGGTACGCAGATGATTTCTGCTCGGGAGAGAAGCCCAAACACACGTCCTAGGCAGAGCCCAGAGACCTGGAGTGTGGCCGCCAGTGGGCTGAGGGACAAGCAGATAGGCCTCAGTGGTGGCTGCCAGGTCCCTGGACACCGGTAGCCACTGGCCTTGCCTCTCCTCTGCCTCAGAAGCACCGGAGGCTTTGGGGATCTGGTGGTCCTCCGGCCCTAAACATGCACCTGGCGTGACAAAGGGAAGTTTGCCATCTGCATCCTCCTCAAGCTGCCTGTGCACCCCAGTAGCACCCACCCTCTCTGTGCTCCCTTCTGCACCCCATGTCCTGGGGTCCTTCTTTGTGCTACACCTGATGACAGGAACCAGTGTCCCGACTGTGACTTGCTTACCCCCTCAGGGACACACAAGCACTTTAATATCGAGGCTACTTTTCACCCCTTCTGCCTCCTGCAGGGACGCTCGATGCAGAGGCAGGAGGACAGAGGGGCTGGTCTCAGGTGTGGCTTCTCTCACACCTGGCGCAGGTGGCCACTCCCTGCCCCCCACCCCCCACCTCAGCTCCCGGGTGTGAATGAGAAAGGGGAACCAAGAGATCATCGTTACATGGGACACACCACAAACCCCAAAAAGACCCATTTGGTGAAAAGAAGTAAAACAACCACAAGTCTATTTTCGCCTGAGGTGGTCTCATGGCTGAAGCAGACCGCTGCTCTCCTGTCTGGGCTACTCAAATAGTAACCCGGTGTGTCCTCCCATGTGCATTTTCCTTCGGGTTGAGCAAAAACACTTTGTCATCTTCCCACTCCTCAATAGAGCAGAAGGGAACGAAAGGCAATTACAGGGCCTTACAGAGCTGCTCCGGGGGCCGCGGGAAACTTATCAGCATCCTGGAAAAGACAAAACCAGTGGGTTGCATGTGGCCTCTGACACCTGCCACCCTGACTGCAGGGTGTGGCCACCCCCACCTTTCACCTTCCCATCATTAGCGCCTGGACAAAGCGCTCGAAAGCCCAGGCCCGTGGGTCAGCTCCAGCTGCTCCGCCTGACAGGGGTCAGGGAGGCGGGCCAGCCCCACAGCCAAGTCACAGCTACAGGGCCTGGTCGCACCTGAGCAGCGCGGCCTCGGGCTGCTGCTGGCGCTGCAGGCTCCGCGCCTGACCCTCCAGCCTGAGCAGCGGGCACTTGGCCGGGAAGCACCTCTCCAGCTTGCGGCTCAGCACCACGTTCACGCGCAGCGCCTGTGGCCGCTCGGCCCCGGCTCCACGCAGCGCTTGCAGACCGTGAGCCCGCAGGGCAGTGTCACCGGCTTGTGCAGCAGCCGCGGGCAGCCGAGCAGGTCGCGGGGCGCGCCGGGCTCCAGGGCCGGCCCTCCCTAGCCTGGCGCCTCAAGCTCGCCGCCCGGCTTCCCCGTGAACAGTGGCCGTTCGCGCAGGCCGGGGCACACCAGGCCGCCCGCCAGCTCTGCCAGCTCTCCCAGCTCCTCCGGCCGCAGCGCCTCGAGCCGCAGGGCGACACAGAACGCGCCCAGGGCCACCGGGAGGCGGTCAGCGCGGGCCAGCGCGTTCCCCAGCCTCAGGCACTGACCGCGGTCGGGCTGCGCCAGCCGGGCCAGCGTGGAGCGGAAGAGCCCGGCTGCTTTCTGGTACTCGCTCTGGCGGAAGGCCTCGTCGCCCACCTCCAATCGCTGGGCGATCGGCTCCCCGCAGTCGCAGCCCGGACACTGGGGCGGCGGCGGGACCGGCTCAGTGCTGATTCCCGCGGGGCTGCGCCCCTGCGGGCCTGGAGCGAAGGCGTGGAGCAGGGGCAATGCGCTGCTGCTGGGAACTGGCCGGCGGGAGCACGGCCACAGCCTTCGCCTGCAGAACGAAAAAAGCGTTTTAAAAATCCTTTTAACATCCGCAGAACGATTTTTAAAACCTTTTTTAACATCTCTGAAGAATTACATTGGAAATTTGTTAGAGATTGTATTGGACCTATAGACTGATTTGAGTATGATGGTCATTTTAACAGTATTAATACTTCTAATTCATAAAAATGGGATAACTTTCCCTTTATTTGTATCTTTTTCAATTGATTTTTATCAATGTTTTATAGTTTTCATTTTAGACATATTTATTTGGCTTAGTTTATTCCCAGGCATTTTTTTATAGCTATTTTAAATGGGATTGGTTTCTTGATTCCTTTTTCAGATGGTATGCTGTTGGGTATAGAAATGCGACTGATTTTTCTATGCTGATTTTGTATTCTAAAACTTTACTGTATTCATTTACTATTTCTGTTTTTTCAGTAGAGTATTTAGGGTTTTTTATACATAAGATCATGTCATCTGCAAACAGGGACAATTTGACTTTATTTTTGTTTTTCAATTTGGATGTCTTTTCTTTTGCTGGCCTAATTGCTCTGGCTAGGACTTCCAGTGCTATGTTGAAGAGAAGTTATTAAAGTGAACATCCTTGTCTTGTTCTAGACCTTAGAGACACAGTTTTCAATTTTTCCTTATTCAGTATCATGTTGGCTGTGGGTTATCATATATGGCCTTTATTTTATGGAGCTATGTTCTTTTTATAACTAATTTGTTAAGAGATCTTATGTTTACAAAAAACATTGAATTTTGTCAAATACTTTTTCTGTATCTATTTAAATGACTATTTTTTTATCTTCCCTTATCAAATGTGGTGTATCACATTTATTGATTGACATATCATAAGCCCTCCTTGCCTCCCTGGAACAAATACAACCTGATTATGGTGAATCATCTTTTTAATGCACTTCCAAATTATGATTGCTAGCATTGCTGGTTTTGAATTGTTGCATTCATGTTCATCAGTGATATTGGCCTGTAGTTTAGTTTTTTACTGTTCTTGTCTCATTTTGGAATATGGTAATTGTGTCTTCATAGAATGAGTTTGGAAGAGTTTCCTCCTTTTCACTTTTTTTGTAATAATTTGTAAATAATTACTATAAGTTCCTCTTTAAATGTTTTGAAGAATTCAGCAGTGTAAGCATCGGATCCTGAACTTTACTTTTCTTTTCTTTTCTTTCTTTCTTTTTCTTTCTTTCTTTCTCTCTTTTTCTTTCTTTCTTTCTTTCTTTCTTTCTTTCTTTCTTTCTTTCTTTCTCTTTCTTTCTTTCTTTCTCTTTCTTTCTTTTGTTCTTTCTTTCTTCTTCTTCTTCTTATTAAATATTTTTGGTTTAGAGACAGGGTCTTCCTCTGTCACTCAGGCTGGAGTGCAGTGGTGCAATCATAGCTCACTGCAGCCTCAAATTCCTGGACTTCAGTGATCCTCCTGCCTCAGCCTCCCGTTGTTAGGACTGCAAGTGCACACCACTACACCTGGCTAATTTTTATTTTTATTTTTGTAAAGACTGGGTCTCACTATGTTCCCCAGGCTAATCTGGAACTTCTGGCTTCAAGTAATCCTCTTGCCATGGCCTCCAAAGTGTGAGTTTACATGTGTGAGATACTGTGACAGGCCCTCCAGATTTTCTTGTATTGAGAGACAATGCTTCAATCTCATTATTTGTTATTGGTCTGTTTGCATTTTGTGTTTCTTCATTCTTCAATTTTGATAGGTTATATGTGTTCAGAAACTTATTTATTTCTTCTATGTTTTCTAATTTATTGGCATATAATTGTAGTACTTTCTCATGATTCTTTGTATTTCTGTAGTAACCATTTCAATGTCTTTTTTCATCTGATTTTATTTATGTGAATCTTCTCTTTTTCTTAATCTGACTAAATACATATCGATTGTGTTTATCTTTTCAAAAAATAACTTTTCATTTCATTGATCTTTCATATTTTTGTCTCCATTTTGTTTATTTGTGCTCTATTCTTTATTATTTGTATTCTTTTTTACCAATTTGGGGCTTAGTTTGTTCATGTTTCTATGATTCCTTGAAATACATTCTTAAGTTATTAATGAGAGTTTTCTTTTTTTCATATAGAAATGTATTTCTGCAAACTTCCCTCTGAGGACTTTTTTTGCTGTATTTCTTAAGTTTTTATATGTTCTGATTTCATTTTCATTTGTCTTAAGAAATTTTAAAATGAAACAAAATTTATTTTTTAACCCATTGTTTAAGGACACATTGTTTAATTTGTATGTATTTGCACAATTTCTGAAGTTCTTGTTGTTTATTTCTAGTTTTATTCTATATTGTCAGAAAAGACGTGATATAATTTTGATCTTTTTTGAATTTGCTAAGGCTCATTTTGTGCCTAATATATGATCCATCATGGAAAATGTTCCATGCGCAGTAGAGAAGACTGTGAATTATGCAATTGTTGGATAACATGTTCTGTAAATGACTACTAAATTATTTGGTCTAGAGTTCATTTTAAATATGATGTTTCTTTGTTGATCTTCTGTCTTGATAATCTGTTTATTGCTGAAAGTGGAATGTTTAGATTTCTTACTATTATTTTATTGCTTGCTGTTTCTCCTGTTAGATCTATTAATGTTTGGTTTATATATTTAGGGGCTTCAATATAGAGGGCATATATATTTACAATTATATTATCTTGTGATATTGACCCCTTTATCATTATATAATGGCCATATTTGTCTGTTTTTATAGGATTTTGCTTGAAGTATATGTTATCTGATATAAATATATCTATACCGGCTTTCTTTTGGTTTCCATATTTATGAAATATATTTTTCCATCTGATCACTTTCAATTTATGTGTGTATTTACAGATGAAGTGAATTTCCTGTAGAAAGTTTATAGTTAGGTCTTGTTTTTAATCAGTGTAGCCATTATATGTCTTAAATGGGATAATCCATTTACATACAAGATAATTATTCATAGGCAAGGACTTGGTCCTGCCATATTATTACTTGTTTTCATGTTTTTTAAAAATTTATACTTTGATTGATTGATTGATTTCACTATCTTCCTTTGTGATTAAGTGATTTACTCTATCAGTGTGTTTCGGTTTCTTTTTTTTTAATTTTTAAAGTATCTATTAAAAGTTTTTGCTTTGTGGTTACCACAAGGCATGCAAAGAACATTTTATGGTTACAGTAAGTTATTTTAAAGAGATAGCAACTTAATTTTGATTCAAAAAAAGGGGAAAAGAAACCACTCTACTCTTTAACTTCATCACTCCCTCACATTTTGCATTTTTGATGTCTTAATTTACATCTTTGTATATTTCTATTCCTTAACAAATTATTGTAATTATTATTTTATTTGTATTGTATTTTAACCTTCCTACTAAGGATATATAAGTGGTTTACATCCAATTATTACCGTATTAGAGCATTCCAAATTTGTCTGAATCCTCACTTCTATCTGTGGGTTTATACCTTCAGATTTTTTGTGCTACATATTGCTGCCATTTCCTTTCAGTTTGAAGAACAATATTTAGCATTTCTTGTAAGGCTTGTTTGATTACAATGAATTCCTTTGCTTTTTGTTTGTCTGAGAATGTTTCAATCTCTCCTTTATTTCTAAATGATAGCTATGCTGGATACTTTATTCATGGTTGACAGTTTTTTTAATTCAGCACTTGAATCTATTATCCTACTCTCTCCTGGCCTGTAGTGCTTCTGCTGAGAAGTCTGCTGCCAGGCATAATGGAATTCTCTTATGTGTTGTTTCCTTTTTCTTAGTCCTTTCAGGGTCTTCTCTTTGTCTTTGACCTTTGAGAGTTTAATTATAATATGTCTTTGGTTGTCTTATTCAGATTAAATATGATTGGGCACTTTGACCATCCTAAACATTTTAATCTTTCTCCAGGTTTAAAAAGTTTTCTGTTATTTCTTTGAATAAACTATCTCTTTTTCATTCTTAGTTCCACTTTAACACCAATGATATGTAGATTTCCTCTTTTGTTGGTGTCCCACAAATCTCATAAACTTTCTTTGTTTCTTTTCATTCTTTTTTTTCATTTTACTCTGACCATGTATTTTCAAAGAGCCTGTTGTTTGAGCTCAATGTTTCTTTCTTCTGCTTGATCAGTTCTTCCTTCTGTTGATGCCTTCCGTTGGATTTTCAATGTGTTCATTGAACTTTCCTGCTCCAGGGTTTACATGTGATTTTTCCCATTATTTTGATTTCTTTGTTGAATTTCTCTGGTAAATTTCTGAATTGTGTCTCTGCTTCTCAGTGTTCAGGCTCTTCTTAAGACAGCCATTTTGAATTATTTGCCTGCCAGATCATTCATCTGTATGTCTTTAAGTTCAGTTGCTGACACCTTGTTTTGTCCATTTGGAGAGGGAACTTTTCCTAAGCTATCATTATTATATGTAGATATACATCTCTGTCTACACATTGATGAATTAGATGTTTATTTGAGTCTTCTCAGTCTGGGTTTGCTTGTGACTACTTTTAAGTGGGCCTATTAAGAAATTTTGAGTGGACTTATCATCGTATTCCAGTTTAACGTTAGAGAGAGCCCAAATCCCATGTTAGACGTAAGTCTTCCAATGGCTCCACTGATGCAACATTTGCTGGCTGGGCCCATGGGTGATCCACAGGGAGCCCCTGGCTATGGGGGAGAACAAGTCAGGCCGTCAAGCCTGTAGAGTCTGTGTATTATGTTTCACATGGTGGCTGTTGCTGGCCCCACCTCCTCTTATGTCATTAACATGCCTCAGGTGGTTCATCCCTTTTGGCACTCATGGTGCCACTTGTGGGCTGATACAGGAGTGAGGCTACTGTGAAAGAACTCAATATAGTGGAAAAAACAAATATCAAACTCCTGCTCACTTTCTTCAGTGTAAAAACTATAAGCCCTGTGGGAGTTTCTGCAGATGGTACCATAACGGCCTGAGGGAAGAGTATCACAGTCACAGAGTATTGGTTCTCTCACTGCATAAGCCATGGTTTCACCCATCTTCACAGGCTAAAGGTGCTTCATAACCTTGTTCATGTATTGAGGTTCTGTTGGCTCTTGTAATGGTAATTTCACATGTGGACAGTTGTTCATATTGATGTTTCTATAGGGGTACGATAGCTGGAGAGGTCTGCACCACTGTCTTGCTCTGCCTCAATCATTTTTTTTTTCTAACAAGAATTTGTCTTCTCCTAGTTTTTCTTTTTCTCTTAACTGACCTAGGTTTAGCCTTGTAATCCTTCTCCCTCCTCTGCTTCTAATGTCATTGTTTCTTTGTATTCCTATCATATCTACATGCTACATGACCTTCAGCTGGTTATGTATAATATATAAGACTTAATATCCTATAAAATAGAGATAATAATAGCATCTACTTGATAGGAAAGTTAAGAATATTAAATGACACCATTGATGTTAAATGGAGGTAACTTTCTGAAATGTATTAATAAGACATTATTCTTTGTTCTAGTCTTCACTTTATACACTAGACTACTTTATTCGAGTTTTCTTCTTTCAGTCAGAGAAAGAAATAAAATTGTAATAGTAAAAATTAAATAAAATTTAATTTAAAATTGTGTTCTGGTCTTCTCGTTGTTCAGCCATGGAAAGCAATAAAATTGTTATAGCAGAAATTAAAAGTGAGCAGAGACTTATTTAAAAATTGGTGTTCTGCTTTTCAATGCCAAAATAAGAACTAGAAACTTTTAATAAGGCAATGGTCTGAAGAAACAATTTATTGAAGAGAATATGGGTTTCTACATCCTAAGAAGTTTTTTTACGTATGTGAGTCGAGTTTGGCTGCCTTGAATCCTACTATGACTTTAATGGAAGTTCTAGTTAGGGTGGAAAGTGTCAAAGAAAACAATTGCACCAGACGAAGTTAAACACATAAAAAAGCTGTTATTGAAGGCTATTGCAAAAGGACAAAGAGGCCAGAACTTAGTCTGAACTCAGCTCCACTGAAACAAACAGCAGTAGAGATTTTAAGAGCTGGGATGAGGGGGTGATCATAGGCCACTTGTTTTTGACAGTTGTCTTTTTCCAAAGGAACATTAAACTATCTTATCTTTATGACAGAAGGTAATTTTACAAATCAGAGCAATATGCCCACCATAATTTGGCTCTTACTCTCTTATGGAGTCTGGGAGATAATGGTGTTATCTTTCTTGAGGATTACATTTCAAAGGAATGGCTCTGAGGTCCTTGAAATGGACATTTCTGAAGTGTAAAACTGGCAGATGGGCTCTTAAAAAGATTTATATATCAAAGAGGCAGAGAGAGAATTTACAATGATAACATTTCTAAAATATGCTAATAAAAGAGGCCAGGAGCCAAGAATCAGAAATAATCCTGTCTAAAATTTTATCAAGCTGAGGGGATGGTTTCAGTCAAAGGTTTAGTGTAAGGGGAATTTCTATGAACAAGAGGAAGAGAAGAGCTTTTAATTACACAGGAAGAAGAAAGTTCCCAGGAGATGTGACTATGGCTCTGCCTGTGTCTCTGATCAGGTATTCAGCCCCAACATCTTCCTGGGACTCACTCATACAGATAGATAGGAAAAAATAGACAGTTAAAGAAAGATGAGAAAATATGCAGGCTGATGTCTTACTTCTCTAGTGCACATAGGGTGTTCCAGGAATGACAGAGTGGCAGGACAGGGGGAAGTGCCTAAGAGATCAATTCCCTTACTCTCAGCTTGTGAGTGCTGTCTGAAAAGCCAGTCTCTCCAAGCTTGGTGGGAGGGGGACTCACAACTGGTTTGACAGGGCCAGTGGAGGCCCCTGGTGGGACATGCTGGCCTCAGAATGTGAGGTCTTGGTGGCTAGAGGAAAATGGCAGGTGACCAGAAACTTCATCAGTGGGTGACAATACATGCAAAATCAAAGAGAAGATGAGCCATGCCAGCAGATATCTGTGAAGAATGCCCAGAGAAGACTACATTGACCATGCACAGCACAGACCAGCCTGTACCAGAGGACGGTGCAAATGGCACGCCGCAGCAACAGAGGCGACTTCGACCCCGCCCACGCCACCAGCAGCTCGGACCCTAGGGTCAGATACCACCACAGAGGCTAATTCCAGTGGTCGCCCCGCATCTCAGGAAGACGGGAACCTGCACTCAGCACCATCCCCGTGGCTGCACAGGGCCCAGGACCCGTAACCCGGCGCTCTGGGTGCGGGCCAAGAGCGTAACCTAGGGTGGCATGTCGGTGAACTCGGCGACCCTCTAACAACCTGGGAGCAGCCCCAACAGCCTCAATTGTGGGCTCATCTGCAACTGCCACCTGCCGATGGCGCACGGGAGCAGCAGTGGCAACCCTTGACCCTGTCCCCACCACCAGCAGCGTCGACAGCAGGGCCAGATAGCGCCGCGGCGCCTAAGACCTTAGGCCACGCAGCTGCAGGAGGACGTGAAACTGGCGCTGACCGGCCCCCAGAAGCTATGCAGTCCCCAGCGCAGGCCAGTCCGCACTCTGGGCGCGGGCCAAAGATCAGATACTATGATGAAAGGACGGTGAACTTGGTGACCCTGAGGCTCGCAATGGGTTTAGCAGCAGCTGCCACCTGCAACCAACCCTGACCCTGCCCGCGTCACCAGCTGCAGTAACCCAGGGCCAGATGCCGCCTCAGCGGCTAGTGCAGGTAATCGTCCTCCAGCTGCAGCAGGGAGGAAATCCGCTGCTCAGCCCCATCTCGGCGGCTGCACAGAGCCCAGCGCCGGCACAGAGCCCAGAGCCCGCACAACCCGCTCTGGGTAAGGGCAAAGGAAGAGCGGACCTAGGGTGGGAGGACCCTGCACTCCCTGACCCTCAGGCCGTCTGGGGCCAGCCCTGCCAGCCTCGGTCTAAAGCTCCGCTGCAGCTGCTACCTGCTCATGGAGCGCAGCGGTGGCAAACCCGGACTCCGCCCACCAACACCAGCGGCCTCGAAACCCTAGAGCCAGACTCCACCTAGTGGCCAAAATCAGGCAGTCGGCCCACAGCTGTAAGAGAGCGGGAACGTGCCCTTCAGCGGATTCCGGGAGGCTGCACAGTGCCCAGCGCAGCCACCCGGATCTGGGCGCGGGCAAATGGCCCTCAGGCCGTCTGGGACCGGACCAGCCCTGCAGCCTCAGCGGTGGGCTCAGGGGCGGCTGCCACGTGCACACGGTGAACTATAGCAGCTGTGGCAGCCCCCGACCCTGTGCAAGCCACCGGCAGTGCGGATCCCATGACCAAAAGCCGCCGCGGCGCATAACTCAGGCTGTCGGCCCCGCAGCAGCCAGAGGGCGGAAACTTTCAGCTTAGCCCCATCCCAGCACCTGCACTGTGCTCAGCGCCTGCAATCCAACTCTCTGGGCGCGGGCAAGGAAGACTGGACCTTAGGGTGGGAGGGCGGTGCATTCGGGGACCCTCAAGGCTTCTGGAATAAGGCCTTCCAGCCTCCGCCACGGGCTCAGCTGCAGCTGCCAGCTGCACACTCCTGGAAGCAGCAGCGGTGGCAGCTCTGTTCTCTGCCAGCTCCAGCAGCAGCGCGGACCGCAGAGCCAGAGGTCACTGCAGCGCCTGTTATGAGATTGGCTTCTCAGCTGCAGGAGGGCGGGAATCTGCACCCAACCAGATCCTCATGGCTGCACAGTGTCCAACGCCCACAACCCTGCAATCTGGGAGCCGGCCTAGGAATAACGGACCCTGGGGTGGAAGGGTGGTGCACTCAGCCACCCTTAGGCAACCTCAGACCAGCCCTGACAGCATCTGCCTCGGACTCAGCTGCAGCTGGCACCTGCCCATGGCGCACAGCAGTAGTAGTGGCAGCCGTGACCCTGCCCGCAGACACCAGCAGCAAGACCCCAGGACCGGATGCCTCCAAGGCATCTAAGTCAGGTGGTCGGTCCCATAGCGCTGGGGATTGCAGCGGTCGCCCGCTGCAGCAGGGCGAGAATCGGCTGCTCAGCCCCATAGCAGCTGTGGCAGCCCCCATCTCTGTCCATGCCACCCAGTAGCACGTACCCCAGGGCCAGATACTGCGGTGGCGCCTAATTCAGACTGTAGCTGCAGCAGGGCAGGAATCCGCTGCTCAGCCCCATCCTGGAGGCTGCTCAGAGTCTAGCCCTCGTACACCGCGTCCTGGGAGCAGGCTAAGGAAGAGCAGACCCTAGGGTGGTAGGGCGATGCACCCAGAGACCCTCAGGGTGTCTGGGACCAGCCCTGCCAGTCTCTGCCACGCGCTCACTTGCAGCTACCACCGCCAGGTGGCTCCCACCAGCAGCGATGGAAACCCCGCTGACCTTGCCCGCCGCCAACAGCAGTGAGGATTCCACTGCTGGATCCCTTGCCAGGGCGGGAACCTGCCGCTCAGCCTATTCTGGGCAGCTGCACAGGGCCCAGCGCCTGAAACCCCGAGCTCTGGGCTCGGGCCAAGGAAGAGTGGACCCTAGGCTGGGAGGGCAGTGCACTCGGCGATCCTCACGCTTTCTAGGACCAACCCTGCCGGCCCCTACTGAGAACTCAGCTACAGCTGCCACCTGTACAACGGCGCCGCAGCAGCAGAGCAACCGGGCACTTTGCCTGCACCACCAAGAGCCAGGACACCAGGGACAACGCCGCCTCAGCGCCTAATTCAGGCAGTCAGCCCCGCAGCTGCAGCAGGGCAGAAACCTTTGCCCTCGGCCCAGTCCCCTTGGCGGCACAGTTCCCAGTGCCCGCGACCCGGAACTCTGGGAGCAGGCAAAGGAAGAGCGGACTCCAGGCTGGGACAGTGGTCCACTCCATGACCCTGAGGCTGTCTGGGAAACCCTTGCCTGCACATGGCGCGCGCAGCAGCCTTGGAGGCAACCCCAGACCGTGCTCCTACACCAGCCAGGCGGATCCCAGGGCCAGACCTCGCCCAGCGGCTAATTCAGGTGGTCAGGCCCCAGCTGCAGGAGGGCGGGAACAGGCCGCTCAGCCATTTCCTGGCTGCTGCCCTGTACCCAGCGCCTGCACACCCCGCTATGGGTGCCGGCAAGAAAGAGCTGACTCTAGGGTGAAAGGGCCCTGCACTTAGAGACCCCCAGGCTGTCTGGGACCAGCCCTGCCTGCTTCTGCTGTAGGTTCAGCTGCAGTGGTAACCTGCACAAGGCGCGCAGCAGCAGCTGTGGCAAACTCTGACCCTGCCAGTGCCACCAGCAGTGCGGACCCTTGGGCCAGAAGCCTCCACAGCGCCTAAGTCAGGGTATTGGTCCCCAGCTGCAGGAGGGCAGGAACTGGCGCTCAGCCCCACCTTAGAGGCTGCATGGTGCCCAGAGCCAGGGCCCAGCTCTTCTAGCGCAGGTTGTGGAGGGGCCAGGGGCCACCCAGGCTGGAGGGCAGTGTCATGATCACAGCTCACTGAAGCCTCAATCTCCCAGATTCAAGGTATGCTGTCACCTCAGCCTCCTGATTAGCTGGTAGCTGGGACTACAGGCAGGTGCCATCATGCCTGGCTGTTATATTTTATATATATTTTGGAGAGACAGGGTCTTACCATGTTGCCCAGGCAGGTCTTGAACGCCTGGAGTTCAAGGGATCCTCCCAACTTGACCTTCCTCAGTGGTGGGATTATATGTTTGAGCCACTGTGCCCTACCTGCCGCTTTTCTTATAAGGATACTTGTCATTGGATTTAGGGCCCATCCTAATCCAAGATGAGATGCCCTCATCTCAAGGTGCTGGATTTAATTACATCTGCAGATTGTTTTCCAAATAAAGGCACATTCACAAGTTCCAGGTAGACATATCTTTTGATAGACCACCATGCAATCCACTCTAGGAGTATTAAAGTGCCAGTGTGGACTGAGGCACCAAAGAATCACATTATTATGTCATATAACTTGCCTTATTCATAGTGACCCATGGGCTTGGAAACAGAACCACTTGCAGCTGTCAGGGAAGTAAGTGCACAGTGCCTGACCTTTCCTGCAGCCTCCTCCCCACTGGTCTTCCATGAGAAGATCACCCCTTGAGAGTGTCGAGAGATTCCTGTTAAATGCTAAAGACCACAGGAGAGTTTGGGAGGGGGAAGATGTTTGGGGAGCAGCTTAGTTGTCCTGAGGTGCCCATCACCCTTCACCATTTCAGCAATATGGATCTTCCAAGGATCTGGGAATGGGAACCAGGCATAAGACAGATACATGTGGGTGAGAAGAGGCCAGAGTCTTTCTCTGTGTAGGCACCATCCAGCCCAAGATGAGCATTGCTGCAGAAACACATGCACTCATGATGCTAAACCCAATCTATTGAGGACTTAATACAAACTGCGATTTTTTTAAAGCATTTAATTCTTACCACAGTCCTTTGTCATCTTATTGTCTCCATTTTACAGATAAAGAAACAGGCACAGAGGGTTTAAGTAACATGTACGAGGTCACACAATCACAGCTAGTAAAGCCAGGATTAAAGTCCAGTCAGTCGGCATTCAAAGCCTGTGCTCCTGCCCCAAAATGACAAGTAATGACTTAAAGGCAAGAAAAACAGACCCTCCTCTACCCACCATCCTCATACACAGCCTTCCAGCCCAGGATCTGAGCCATTCATTCATTTGCTCTCATATTCATTCATTCATTCATTCATTCATTCAGTTCTTCATCATACATTTAGTGAAGCTCTGTCATGGAATGTCCACACAGAAGGTACAAAAATGAGGCAGGTGTATTTTCTCCCATCTAAAGGGGGATGACCACGTGAAGAGAACTGATGGGCTGCGTGTCCAATGGCCTTATGGGGCAGTGGTGGAGGGTGGCCCAGGTCATCCACTCTCTGGGGAGGCAGAACCAGAAGCACCAGTTGGACAACTGCTAAAGAGATGTTTATGCAGGCTTATATGTTAACTCCTATATTTTGAAAGCTTTTTAAATTTTTTCTTTAAGATTTTAGATGCTTACCACTGAGTACCAGAGGGATGTAGCCTGATGCCCTTATCAACAAAGTCAGGGATGGTGGCACACAAGGTTTGACTACTGCATACACGGTCACAGCGCTACCTCCAGATGGCCTGAATTCCCCTGCCCTCTCTAGTGGGGAGAAGAGCTGGCAGAGCCATTAGCATGGGCTTCAGCCAATCCTGGCCACTTTGATGCTCCTGGTGCTGACCCAGGGTCCTGGAGGATGGGCTGAGGTGGGGGGTAGAGATGTTCAGGGCAGCGGCCCCTTTCCATCCACCCTGGAACTATTTCAGTATTTCACCACCAATTCATCTATTCCCTTGTGCACTGGCTGAACATCAGCCCTGCTCCAGGTCTCAGTTTTCCCTTTGTAAAGGGAAAGCTCTGGATTCAGGGGTGATGAGAGGCCATCATGGTCTTGAGATTCCAGGCCTGTAGGCATGGGGTGAGAGGTTCACTAGGAGTGCAGAAGACCAAGGTTGGGGAGAAGCAGAGGAGAGAGTGGCCTCCCTTTGGCCCAGGTGGGAGGTTCACAAAGACACCCTTCCTTCTTCTCCAAGGCAGGACTTGTTAACAGTGAGCTTCAGGCAGTCTGGCACTTGGGACTAACTAGGATGTCACCCTCCCTGCAGCCTCCACTCCATAGACAACATGAGAAGAGTGTGTAAGTATAACTAGGAACAGGCTAGTGTCCTGATATTCTCTGTGATGGAGGGGACAATCCTCCTCAGAGACCCAAGGGAGCCCAGAACCATGGACAGCCTGAACACACTTTACTTTCTCAGCAGTGACAATCAGAACCCTGGCTTACAAAAGCAGAAATTAAAAGGAGAAAAACCTAAATTCCTGCCTGTACCAGGCTGACTCACTCCAAGGCCCTGCTAGGACTAAGCTAACTTTATGTACAAGGTCAAGCAGAGCACAGAAGGAACGGACTCCAGGAACGGGGATGAGAAAAATAAGTTCTTCTTATCAGCTTCCCCCTTTGAGATTCTTTCCTAGGCCAGTATGTCTTTGCTCTGCTCTCATAATTATTTTTGTAACTATTTCTGTAAGTTTGTAAGGATTTTGTAAGTTCCTGTTTTCCATCTGTGCAACACTGAGAAGGTCACAAGACATGCCTGAGCAAGCCTAAAATAGTGACCATCCACTGAGAGCCTGCTGGGCAGCCCAGCAGAGGTCACCAGGCATGTTTGAGTCATACACCTGTCACTGTTTGATTAACTGCCTTTGTTCTGCTTCTATAAGCTTGCCATCCCGCCCTGTGAGTTTCACGCAGCTGCATGCTTAAAAACCAGGCCCCATCTTTGTTCGGAGCTCAGCCTTTTGGATGCGAATCCACTAGGCCAGTGGCCACTTTAATAAAATCCTCCTGTCTCATCCATTGGTCTCTCCAGTCTCTTGAATCCCGCAATGCTACAATGGCTCCAAGACAGCATGTGGGATCTAAGTAATAACTTTTTTGTTTGTTTGTTTTTATTTTTGTATATTTTGTATATTTGTTTATATTTTTGTATAAGACTGGGTCTGGCTTTTTCACCCAGGCTGGAGTGCAGTGGTGCAATCACAGCTCACTGCAGCCACCTCCTGGTCTCAAGCCACCCTCCCACCTCAGCCTCCCAAGTAACTTAGGACTACAGTTCTATACCACTATGGTTGGCTAATTTTTGCATTTTTTGCAGACACAAGGTCTCACTATATTGCTCAGGTTGGTTTCAAATTCTTGAGCTCAAGAGGTTTACTAGTCTCAGCTTTCTAATGTGCTAGGATTACAGGCATGAGACACCGTGCCTGGCCAGTAATTTTGTTTTATTATATTAAGGTGAGGTTTATACCACATTCTTCTGGTTACAGAAGTAATACATGCTCATTGTATACACTGAAAAATGTAAGCAGTATAAAGAAGAAAATAAAAAAGAATATGAAAATCATTAGTGGTCCCATTGCCTACCATAACATTATGTGCTGCTTTCTAATCTTTACTTCCTCTCCCTCCATGTGTGTCTTTGTGTGTGTGTGTGTGTGTCTGTCTGTGTGGTTTTTTGTTTTTTTTTTTGGCACATAGTACAATAGCTGACATTTATATCTCTCTGACCAGTGTTGAGCATGGTGTTAAGCAATTGACAAAGTGTATTGTATTTAACTCCTACAGAAAATCTAAAAAGGGGAAGGGCAGTATAATTAATAGAATTTTCCAGATGAAAAGACTGGGGCCTGAGTTGAGGTCACATTTTATATACAGCATTATATTATACTTCAGACATGTAACACAGTAAGTGTCCTGGAGAATCTTGGTCTCTTAGTCTGTATAATAACATAAGCATCTTTTGTGGGATTAATAGTTTTTCCAAAGCATGCCTGGAATTTTTGCATAATATTCTAGTGTTTAAATATGTTGTTTATTGCCAGGTGTAGTGGCTCACGCCTCTAATCCCAGCATTTTGGGAGTTCAAGACAGATGGATTGCCTAAGCTTAGGAGTTTGAGTCCAGCCTAGGCAACACAGGGAAACCCCATCTCTACTAAAATACAAAAAAATAGTGAGGCTTGGTGGGGTGTGCCTGTATTCCCAGCCACTTGGGAGGCTGAGACAGGAGAATTGCTTGAACCTGGGAGATGGATTTTGCAGTGAGCTAAGATCGTGGCACTGCACCCCAGCCTGGGCAACAGAGTGAGACCCCGTCTAAAAAAATGTTGTTTATCAAACCATTTTCATCTTTGAAACATTTCAGGTCTCCTCTTTGGCTTTTTTGCATTATAAATAATACTGTGATAAACATCCTTCAGCAGAAACCTTCATAGGCTAGCTTCCTAGAAGTAGAGGTATTAGGTCCAAGGTTTTGAATTGTTTTAAAGCTATTGATTTATCTGGATAAAATTGCTTCCAGAGATATTGTCCCATTTTGCATTCCAATCAGTGGAACTCACCTTCAGTATTTTGTGCAATTAAAAAAAATAATGTTTCTCCTTTTAAAGATTATATTTAAAATAGCTTTTAAATGTGAAAAATTTGTATCTACAAATAAGAGATAGTGACAAAAAATAAATAATAAAATAAACACAAGAGCAGAAAGTAGATTGAAACATTAAAATTCAAATCACAGGCCTCTGTTATGGAGAAGACAGCTGCAATAGCTTTTTTGTTCTTTTATCTACATTGGTAGATTCTTCTTTTAATTAATTTTTACCCCAACTTAAGTGCTGGCTGGGTTGGCAATTTGTTGCTGGGATGGAAAGAAGAAATGTGCACCTTGTCTTTTGCAGGTTATGAGAGCCTTGTCTGTCTTTGTGGTTGTGTGGGTGTCTGTTAGATTATTGTGAATATTGAGCTTTGAAAATAACCTAACAGTCAATCAGCTGCTGAGCTTCTATTACCAGTAGTGGGACACAATGTACATCATGTAAATAGGCAGACTTGTCACTCACAAGAGGGCTGACCCCTGGAAAGCCAGCACAGAGCCAGCTTTTCCATGTGAATCCACTCTCTCCAGAATATAACATAAGTCATGGAAAGAAATAAGAGTCTCAGGAAATGAGACTCTTACCACGATGAGAGGTGAACCTTGAAAAGCTATTTTAGCAATTAGGAAGAGAAGTCCCCTTTTGCATCCCAAATTAAGTAGAGGCCTGCTAGTCCAAACATAATTACTGAATAACCTGAGTCACCTGGGCCCTGAGGACTCCTGGCCTCTTAGTCCACATTTGCAGAAATATCAGGAGGTCAATCAGGAAGCTGGTTAGGCAGCTCAACACAGGGTCAGAAAGCTCCTAGGCATGCAAATAAATGTGCACACTGGAAATTGAGTTCTGCAATTTTTCCATGACCTAGAAAGCTATGATGATGAAAATGTTCTACATTCATGCTGCCTAGTTCAGTAGCCACTAGCCACATGTGGCTATTGAGTAATTGAGATGTGGCTAGTACAACTGACCAGCTAATGTTAAATTTTGTTTTATTTGAATTAATTTTAATTTTAATAGTCACCTGTGGCTATTGGCTACTGCACTGGATAGCACAGAGATGAGAAATAATAGAAACTTTTTTTGTTGTTGTTTCAATGGCTAACATTGTCAAAAGCTGAATTCCTGTTTCATGTAAAATTTTGGTTTAT
The DNA here is from genome assembly GCF_000001405.40 of Homo sapiens. Taxonomy (NCBI): domain Eukaryota; kingdom Metazoa; phylum Chordata; class Mammalia; order Primates; family Hominidae; genus Homo; species Homo sapiens. The sequence goes on from NT_167208.1 coordinate 60,794, forward strand.
ATTTTCTCAAAGAAGTGAAGTACAAAAAACAAAACAAAACAAAACAAAAGGATGATCAAGCAGAACTTTGGTAAGGAAGGGTGAAGCAGAGACACTTAATTTGGAGTGGGGACAACAGCAATGACCTTGTTTGAAATGCAGCTCCTGTCTGTGTGGCTATCTGTGCTCTGTTCAGGTGTCAGTTCTTCACTTCTTAGTTAAAGCAGTTATTTCAGCTGTGCAATGCTTTTTTGTTCAATAAGCATGATTTTTTACACAGCTGGTTTATCTCCAGTATGGAAACTTTCTGCTTAATCATCTTGATTTCTCTGGGCTTGTTCCCACTCTGCATATGTAAGCATGACACTTGTATCTCTCTCTCCAGGCTCTGATCTAGGATGACAGTTTCTATGATGTGCCCATCTACAGAAACACGCAAATTGCAACTTTAGGAAGAGAAAAAGAGGGCCCTGCAAAAGGCATCTACAGGCCCCATGTGCTGTTCACATTTCTTATTTATTGGTGAAGTGAGTCCTCATCCATTTATTGGACAGTTGCAAGCAAAGGAATTAACTATGACAATTCACCTTGATGTACAACAATTTAGTCTGTTTGGAGTTTCCACTGTTGGAAAATACCTAGTTATCCTAATTAAGAATAGTTATAGATAGTATAGTGATAGCCTTTTTTTTTTTTTTTTTTTTTTGAGACAGGGTCTTGCTCTGTCACCCAGATTGGAGAGGGGCAGCACGATCATGGCTCACTGCAGCCTCAACCTCCCTGGGCTCAGTGATTCTCCCACTTCAGTCTCCTGAGTAACTGGGAATACAAGCACATGCCACTGTGCCTGAATATTTTTTCTATTTTGTTTTGTTTTGTAAAGATGGGGTTTTGCCATGTCACCTAGGCTGGTATTGAACTTCTGGACTCAAGTGATCCTCTCTCCTCAGCCTCCCAAAGTACTTGGATTACAGGTGTGGACCAGCATGCCATGCCTATAGTGATATCTTTAAGTAACCCTCTCTTTTCTTCTTTTGAGCAATTTTTCAAAGCAACAGGCATTTTATTAAATAAGAAAGTCGATGTGCTTTCCTAATGCCTGTTAATAAAGTAAAGAGCCAAGGAACCTCTGTGATTTCAATGAAATCCCTCCAGATATTATAGGCTACTTGTTACTGACAAGTATGGCAGGAACTGCAGGTCAAGCTGTGATAGGCAAATAGATCTTGCTGAAGAGGAAGAATGATTGGCTAAGATAATGCCCCAGGACAGCTGGCATACCTTTAGACACAGCTAAATTGAATGCTTTCTGAGGAGGAGTGTATTAGTCTGTCTCACACTGATATAAAGACATACCTGAGAATGGGTAATTGAAAAAGAAAAGAGATTGAATTGGCTCACAGTTCTGTGGGCTGTACAGACTTATGCTTATAGGGAGGCCTCAGGAAACTTACGATCATGGCAGAGGTGAAAAGGAAGCAAGCACATATTCACATGGCTGAAACGAGTCAGGGGAGGTGCTACACACTTTTTAAACAAGCAGATCTTGGGAGAACTTTATCATCAGACAGCACTAGGGTGATGAGGCTAAACCATTAGAAACCACCTCCATGATGCAAACACCTTCCACTAAGCCTCTCCTCCAACACTGGCAATTACAATTCCACATGAGATTGGGGATGGGGGGTGCACAAATCCAAACCATTTCAAGAAGCATTTTAAAAATTTAGGGAAGTTCTAATCAGATGGCAAGTCAGGATAGGGCATTCCATCAACATAACACTCCTCTCAATACATGCCAAAATGAGAGAAAGGAAAAAGTGCAAGGATGAAGAAGGGACACAGCAAAATGACAAGATGACTAACAAGATGACCCCTGTGGAAAGCATTTACTGATTCAACAACCAAATAATGAAGAAAATAAGAGCAAATTTGCTGAGTTTCTATGCTGTTTATGTTTATTAGGGAAGGGCAAAAGCCAGTCCCTCGACATTGTTACTGTTAATTAACATCATCACTACCTGCTCTTAAGTGTCTAGATACTTTCAAGAATCTAGTATTATCTTCACTTAAATGTTTCTTGGATGTGCCCTGTCATGAATGTGATATTGCAAAAAGATTCTACATTAACCACAGCAAGATGGCTATGTAATAATTGGGATCACTTTAGGGGAGCATATTTCTACCACATTTTGAGATGGAAAATGAAGTAAAGATATCCATTTGTCAATTTCTTCTACATTATGCCAAACATTCAAAGAGATTATTTTATTTATTTCAAAGATGTATACATGTTGAAATTAAAATTTAAATTAAGAAAATTTATTAACTGTGTCAAAAGAAAAGTAAGCGAGGCAGTTCTGCATGCCCTGGAAGTGTCAGGCATATATGACTAAAGTATTCGGCATTTGGCCAGGTGTGGTAGCTCATGCTGTCATTCCAGGATGTTGAGAGGCCGAGGCAGGTGGATTGCTTGAGCTCAGAACTTTGAGACCAAGCAAGGCAACGTGGTGGAACCCCATCTCTATGAAAAATATGAAAATTAGCCAAGCATGGTGGTGCCCACTTTTTAGTACCAGCTACTGGAAAGGCTAAGGTGAGAGGATCATTTGAACCCAGGAGGTCAAGGCTGCAGTAAGCTCTGGTCGCACCACTGCACTCCAACCTGGGTGAAAGAGGGACACCCTCTGCCCAGGACTCTTGGGATATGACTATACCCATAGGGATTGCCCTCAGTAACCTCACATTTGAGTGGAAGTGGAGATCATATGTACCTATACCAATATGTAGTGAAAAAGGAAAACATAAGAAATCATGGCAGAAATGGCACAAAGTATAAAAGAGGCTTGGTATAATTGAGAGAGGCTTTCTGGTGATAAAATTTGAACTGATTTCTGGAGAATGGGTTGAATTTCAATAGAGGGAGATGGACCAAAGTTAATTCTGATGAGGGAAATGTCTTGAGCAAAATCTAGAAAAGGGAAACATGCCCATTTTAAGTGTTAATGAGGGTCCAGTTGGGGTACAGTGCAGGAAGAGAGTTCTAGTGAAAAGGTAGTTGGTCTGATGGGTCAGGGTCTTGCAGGCAGAGGCAGATACTATCATTATTTCATTTTTCAGATTGGAAAACAGACACAGAGAGCCCAAGGTCACAAAGCCAGAAAGTGAATCTGGGCAGTCTAGCGGTAGCACCCTCTTCTTAAATGATCTATTAAAGGGCCTCTTCTCCAGGCACTCTAAAACTGTTCTCCATCTTTAGCTTCCCCAGAGTACAGTGAGGCCCCCTGTTTACCTCACAGGATGGGGTCTCAGAAAAGCAACAGATCCCAACTCATACTAGCTTTTAAATAAAAAAATATATAACCTTGCAAAAAAGAAGTGCAGAGGTTGGGAGAGAGCCAGCACTGGTTAATTCAGCAGCTCAACAATAAATCCAAGACCTGGGTATTGGTTCACCTCTCCACACCACCATCCTCATGGGCCAACTTCTACCTTCTCCTGAATGCTGTGTCTTTGCCTAGTTTTCTCCCTGATTGTAGCTCAAGTGCTACTTCCTGGGGGCAACCTTTCCTGCCTCCCTCTTGGGGTCAGTCCGCCTTCCCAGGCTCTTGTAGCACCCCTGGGTCTGCTGAACTTTCCCTTATTACATAATTCTGTGACTAATGTCAGCTCTTTCTGTTAGACTCTCAGCTCCACTAGAGAAGAAATTCTGTGCATGTTTGCTCACTATTGAACCCTGGAGTCTACTACTCAAATATTTGTCAAATGAGTAAACGGTAGCTCTGTGCAGGGCCAAGGAACACAAGAAACATGCAATCTGCCAAAATACTTATTACAGCTCACTCTCCTCTGGTGACATTTCCCTGAGGCACATTCCTGTTGGTTTCTTCCCCTCAAGAAGCATTCTTCTTTCTCCTTCCTATAAAAGCCAGGATTTTCTCAGATAGCCACACCATGCCCCATGCAAAGAGATCTGGATTATTCTACCATCTTGAGGCATTTCTGTGGAAACTGCTATCAGTCCAAGTGGCCCATGACCTAAGCTGACCCAAGCCAACTGAAGGGAGGACGTATTCTATGCATGCTGTGCAGTTCCACAGGGTGCTGGTTGTCCCAGCTGCTGCTGGTGGTCTTCATGTAGCCAAGGTACCACTAGTGCATATGGAGAAAACAGAACAACTGGAGAGAAACTGAGTAGGTAAAAGTGGGCAGGGCTTGGTGATGTTTGGGGATATGATATGAGCGATAAGACAGAGGATGGTCTTAGGAAAATCTCCTGTATTTTCCTTTTGGACAATGGTATAAATGAATGAAAGTTCCAATCGCTGGGATAGAAAACACTTGGAAAATATGAGATTCATTCAGGCAAGCCTTTCATACACTATTCCATAATCAGTTTCATAAGTGAAAGGGAGTCAGAACTCATTTCTACCTTGTTTGCTTCTATCATACTGTGTTGTACCCTGTTGGATCTACTTATCACATTCCTCCTGCTAGTGGACTTACCTACTAATGTTTGCACTTCTTCCTTGCCAGCCTGGAACCTCTGAGACAGCAGGAGCAGTGTGTGTGCATGCATGTGTGTGTGCACTTTTGTGTGTGTGTGTGTAATTGGATTCCCCACAGCACATTATTGTTTTATCCATAGTAAATGGTGGATGAATATTTGCATGATTTAGCTGGACTGCAGCATTGTGGAGGTCAGATAACCACATTTTGATAGACAAGTTGCATTCTAACCTTGAAGCAGACAAAATGCCCATTTTATCAGCCTCGCTCACACCAGCTGTGCTTTTCCTTTGTGGTTGTATGTTTAAGGAGCTCATCTAACAAGCTTCTTAAAAAGGGGATTGGCCTCAGGCTGCATGGCAAGGTGACTGTGTCTTTGAATATCCCAGATGGAGGCTGGTCACCCTTTTGTCTTTGGGTGAATAGACTACTCGGGAAGGCAGGGATGCATGCACCCCCCCTTTCTTGTTAATGAGTTTGCAATTTATTTTGGCAGATCTAAAATAATAATTCAAAGGCAGTGTAGAAGAAGATGGGGACATTACTTTCAATTGTTTAATATTGTTATGACATGACATGTGCTTACAGAAAGAGAGGCAAGCCACCATCTTCAAGGGAGGGCATAGTCATCGACTGTGATCCTGGTGTCCATGTTGGAATATCATGGCAACTGTCTCCCAGCACTGAACTCGATTACTTCTGCTGCATTCCCAGTGTTAGCTGAGTTGCTTAATTTACTTTCTTCAATGCCATGTGTGAAAGGGAAGCTAGAAAACTGCACTATGTATGGCTTCGTGCACTGAAAATTTGACATTATCAAAGGAGGCATGATCTTGTCTCTCTCTATCCCTCTCCAAATGTTTTCTATAATTATATTCAGAGGCTCATGGGTCTTACCATGGGTGATCAAGGAAGGGCTGGTAACTCTTTCAACCACAGGTAAAATATTACCAACATCTGAAACCTGCATTTTTACAGGTGAGAGAAATGAGGCCAGAAAAGTTAAGTGCATCATGTTGAGTACAATTTTATTTGGTGATCAGGCAGCCCTGGGTTCAAATCCTGGCTCTGTTGCTACCAATTAAGCCACTTAACTCCATCTGAGCCTCAGGTTGCCCATCTGCATAATAAGCAGTAACAGCAGCTGTCCTGCAGGACTACTGTGAGAATTACAACTCAGGTAATGATCATGATATTTCTTGGCAGAGGTGTTCACTACCTAGGTAGTGTTATTATTATTATGTCTAAAGTCACAAAGGGAGTTTTTGAGAAAGCTGGAATGAAAACTTGTTCCTCTCAACACTGAGCTTATTAGAGCACACCGTTTTGCTTGAATAAAGCAGCCCTGGAGTCTCTCAGGGGAGGGTGTTTGTAACATCTGCTCAGGCACGGTTTCATTTGCTATATACCCAGAGACTAGCACTGTACAAGTTGTTGGGAGATACTCATGTGAGTTGGCAGACTTTTGGTCAAATATTTTCCCTAAATCCAGGTCTCTATGGCATTCTACAGAACACTCTGCATCCTTCTAAGGGACACTGGAAGAGCAAATGGATTGTACAGTGAGTTACAAATAAAATGGCTAATCTCAGCATGAAAGGCTGAGGGTGTTACCTGAATGAGGATGCAGACCCTCCATCTACATACAAGCAAACCTAAGTGACCATGAGCCTGCCGGAAAGAAATCACATGCTATGTAAAGGCTTAGTAACAGTGATGAATATTTGAACCTGAACTCCAGCTCCAGAGCAGTTCAGTTGCATCTCTTCCAGGAACAGAAGCCAAAGCAGCTCAGGATTCTTGAAGGCTCTGAAAGGTCAATGAGAATCCTGGTATATGTCAAGACTATCCCACCAAAGAAGGGCTCCATGTGTAGAGACTTAGAAAGGATTCCCAACCTTGGCCCCTCCAAAACCAGAAACAAAGGTGGGGGACAGCCCAATTAAGTGGCCCTAGAGATTTGCCCAGGAGCTGGAGCCCTCCGGAGAAGTCCAGTTTTCCTATGCAGGGAGAGGACTGGGAGTTCTCTGGTCACAAGCCTTCTCCCTTTGTTTTCATGAAGCTATGTCTCTTACCTGGTAAGAAAAATGGAACTGCAGGCAGCTGCTGAAAACTTTAACCAAAAACCCATTGATGCTGGCACAAAGAAAGGAGGCCTGAAGAAAACAAGTGGAAAAGGGCTTGGAGTAACTGAGGTCAGCTGGATTCCTTAAACACTGCCCAGAGCCCTTGAAGCCAACTAAGGGCACACTTCTCAGGCCTGCTCCGAACCACACTCAACTGGGAATCTTTTAAGGACAGCTGCTCTGTTAGGCTTGCCTGAGATGGTGCAGTTTTACCCCGCGGCGGCAGAGGCACAGACAGTTAAGAATGCAGGAGCGGGGCCTCACAATGCCTTGGACTAGGGCAAAGGAAGACCCCCGCCTCTCCCCTCCCGGGGCTAAAACATGGGAGGACCCGGACCCGTGGATCCATTGACTCCGGTACCAGAGGATCCCCGCTCTCCAGCGCCCTAGACTGAGGCAGGAGAAGACCTCAGACCCACTCCGCCCTGAACTAGAGCACAGTGGGACCCGCGACCTGCCGTGGCCTCAGGCACTGGAGGACACCTGCAACGCCGTGCGCTAGACTGTGCTACTGAAGGACCTCTCCCGCGGCTCAGCCCTGGACTAAGGCACGGGAGGATCCCCGCCCTGTCCCGCCCCGCGGTGTCCTGGACTGTGCCACTGCAGAACCCCCACCCCTCCACACCCTGGACTCTGGCTCCCGAGGACCTGGGCCCCGGCTCGCCCTGAACTACTCCTGCCCCTCAGCGCCCTGGACTGTGGTTCCAGAGTACCTGGTCCTGCGGCAACTTGGGCTACCACGTGGACTCCAGGACCCCAGTCCTACCAGGCCCTAGACTGAGACACGGGAGAACCTCTGACTCGCCGCCCCCTGGACTAGGGCACCAGAGGACCCACACCTTGCGGTGCCCTGGACTACAGCACAGAAGGACCCCCGATCCGCCAGGCACTGGGCTCCTGCACAGAGGGACGCCCGCCATGGAGGTCTGGACTACCCCTGCCCCACCGCACCCTGGATTACTGCACGCCAAGACCCTCACCTGAACGCGCCCTACACTCTGGCATGGGGGAACCCGGCCCCGCAGAGCCCTGGACTCTGACATTGGAGGACTCCTCGGCTACGTCCTGGACTCCTGCACAAGAGGACTCCTGCCCTGCCACACCCTGGACACCTGCACTAGAGAAACCTGCCCCGTCGCCCCCTAGACTATGGCACGGGAGGACCCTTGCCACCGACTTCGGCACGGTAAGACCCCTGACCCGCCTTGCACTGGATTCCAGCACTGGAGGACCCCCTGCCACGGCGCTCTCTGGACTACCCCTGCGCCACCGCGTCCTGCACTACAGCACAGCAGGACCGCCGTCCCACCGCGCACTGGACTGAGGCACAGCAGGACCACCACTCCCACATGCCCTGGACCACTGCAGGACAGGTCCCCCACTCCGCCGCGCCCTGGAATATGGCACTGGAGGACCCCCGTCCTGCCGCTCCGCGGACTCCACCACCGAAGACCCTCGCCCCCCTGCGCCCTGGACAAAGGCACGGGAGGACCCGGCTTCACCGACCCGTGGGCTATCGCATAGGAAAACCCCCACCTCCACCCCCACCCCGCGCCAGAGACTCTGACAAGAGAGGACCCCTGCCCCCTGCTCCCCGGACTACAGCAAGGCAGGAACCACCTTCCTCCAAGATCCTCACTATGGCAACTGTGGACCCCCGCCCTGGTACGCCCTGGACTAATTCACCAAAGGACCCCGACCCCACAACGCCGTGAACTCCAGCATTGGAGGACCATTGCCTTACTGCGGACTCAAGCACTGGACTATCGCAGGGCAGGATCCCTGTCCCGCCATGCCCTACACTATGGCACGGGAGGACCCAGCCTCACTGTGCTCTGGACTCCAGCACCGGAGGACTCCTACAAGGAGGACTCCGGCTCTGCCACGTCCTGGACTCCTGAACAAGAGAACCCCCGCCCCGCTGCACCTTGGATATAGCAAGGCAGGAATCCCGCCCTGTCGCGCTCTGGACTGTGGCACCTGAGGATCCACGCCCCAGCGCGCCCTGGACTACTGCTCCGCAGGACTCCTGTTCCACCGCACCCTGGACTATGGCACCAGAGGACCCAGCTCCCCGCGACCGGGACTAAGGCACCAGAGGACCCAGCCCCCTGGCGTCTTGGACTATGGCGCCAGAGGACCCAGCCCCTCGCATCCTGGACTATGGCACCAGAGGACCCAGCCTCCCTGCGTCATGGACTATGGCACCAGAGGACCCAGCCCCTCGCGCCCTGGACTATGGCAGCAGAGGACCCAGCCCCTCGCATCCTGGACTATGGCAGCAGAGGACCCAGCCTCCCTGCGTCATGGACTAAGGCACCAGAGGACCCAGCCCCCTCGGGCCCTGGACTATGGCAGCAGAGGACCCAGCCCCTCGCATCCTGGACTATGGCACCAGAGGACCCAGCCTCCCTGCGTCATGGACTATGGCACCAGAGGACCCAGCCCCTCGCGCCCTGGACTATGGCAGCAGAGGACCCAGCCCCCTGGCGTCCTGGACTAAGGCACAGTAGGACCCCGCAGCATCGTGTACTCCTGCACAGGAGGACCCTCGCAGGGCTGCGTCCTGGACTGAGCTACTGAAGGAGCCTCACCCCTGCCTCACCCTGGACTAAGGCACTGGAGAACTCTTGCTCTGCAGAGCCGCGGACTCTTGCAGGAGAGAACCTGCGCCCAGCCGTGCCCTGGACTGTGGCACAGCAGGGCCCACACCGCGCCATGGACTCCTGTACTGGAGGAAGAGTAGTGACAAATGTCCAGGTTTACAAGTTGAAAAGTAGCAATCAATGTGTTACAATGGATGGATTTGATGTAAAATTACAAATGCTGAAAACATTATGTGTAATTGCCTAGCCAGATCAATTACACAAGACAAAGAAATAAAAGAAATCCATATAGGGAAGGAAGAGGTAAGATTGTTTCTGTTTTCTGAAAATATAATCTTAAGATACAGAAAATCTTTTTTTATTATTAATGTTCTGTTTACTTATTTTTATAATATTTTATAAATAAACTTTATTCATATAAAACAGGCCAAACATCTGACATTCAAAAATGGCTACTATTATAAAATCAGAAACATAGTCAGAGTGTTGGGAATATTGAAATTTCTAAATCTTTATGAATAACACAATCACTTACGTTATATCCACAAAGAACAGAAAAGAGGCAAGCTTGAAAATGTGAGGATAGAAAGGTGTCACAGTGATGTGTTTTTAGAAACAGTACCTTCACCTCTAAGCACCTTTCAGGTAGGTGATAGCTAGCTCATAGGCACCAGAAATTCATAACAGAAATTAAATTACCCAAAAGGCACAGAAGAAAATGTTAACACAAGTATAAAAGTAATTTTATGTAAGATTAAAACCTATTTTAAAATGCTTCCAAATATGTAAAACTATAGACAAATCCATTACACATTCAGCTTAAGTTTACCATTAAAAAGTGTACACACAATACTCTAACTGTAAATACATGCCACTGTTTATAATGTAGCATTTACCACCACAGCACCCAAAGATATTAACAGAAACCAACTCCCTACTAAAATCTAGGGAAAGGTTTTACAGCTAGTGAAATAATTTATTGCAGACCGTATTTATTATAAAGAAACTGTTGGCTCATTCTACTGTATCCACACTCCCTCACAATCTTAAGGGAAATACAATAAATCCACTTTCTTCTCCTAAAATGATATTTAGCACATTTGGCAAGGAGGAGTAGTCCCTTTACTCCTTCTTCTTATCTTTTTTTCTTTTTCTTTTTCTTTTTCTTTTTTTTTTTGAGAATAAACCACTTTCACAAAACTAAGACTCAAACTTTTTCAAAGCTCAGCTTGATTTGCTGGAACTACACAGAGACATGCTTGATCACACAACAGCAACTGTACATCCTCCCACGTCTGGAATACAGAATTGATGGAGGACACTTACTTGCTTAAAATATATTTGATTATTCTGCATTTATGATAAAAATATCATCAAGGGATCATATTCAAGAGGGTAAATTTAGGATTACATGTTTCTAGAACATATAATATGTAATGCCATGCCAAACCAACAACAAACAACATAAAGCACTGAAACTGAAGAACCACTTAAAATTTAGAATTAGGAAATTTCAATCTATAACTGTCAAACAATAAATGAGTTATAATATTTTTCTAATAAGAAAAATATCACCTAAAGTGGAAAGCCAGTATTTAGTCCGGAACTATGAGATACTACATCCTTGATCTGGCTGGCCACCATTTTAAAGACCACCACAGATCTCAAGGCATGAGACCACTCACCAACAAAATCTATCCCTGCTATTGCACCTAGTGTCATCTCAATATGTGGCTGACAGCAAATGTTCTAACTTAATCTGATAGATGCTCCTTTAGCATATAAAAGAGCTTGCTAAGTCCCTATTACCTGTAGCAGTCTATCAACTAAATATTTAAGAAATCATTTCATAGACAAGGTTTATGAATGACTTAGAAGTAAAATTAGTAATTTCTAAACCACTGTAGAGTTTTCTATGTTTTTAGAGATATTCCTAACACAGAGTTTTCCAAGGAGCTGTGAAAACAAGTACAAACACACATGTGTAATTTTGTCATGGATGTTTCTGTACTAATTTGGGGGAGACTAGTGGGCCATAAATAAATGAGATACACATCCTAAAAATAATGGTAAAAATTATCAAGTACCACTTTCAGATGGTTACTCAAGTATCAACTTGGTATGCAAGTAAGTTCACCAATGTCTTCACTTATGATTTCATATTCAAAGTGCTACATCTTACTTAGGTACTGATAAATTTAGAAACCTTTATAATCAACCTCTTAAAGAAAATCCAGCTTTTTCCGATGGTAAACTTGTCTTTACTAACTTTAATGCCTGTAACTATTTCGATATAACCAAAGAAAAATTTAAAAAAATATATTCCTTACAGCTCCTGATTAACTTATTTTTGGATACATTTTGAGGCTAGTAACAAAATTTAGACCAGAATAGGTTTTCATATATCAAAAAAGGAAAGGAACACGGAGAGCACAGATGAGACGTATGGAGGCTCTATACTATAGACCCATCCTTGCTCTGTGCGGGAATCATCACAGGAATCACGCCCATTCGACTTAGATTAGGGGCAGCTACCTTAGCAGGTGGGAGAGTCGGACTCTGAGGAGTGCGTTCAAAGTCTTCACTCGGTACTTGTTTATACTGAGTCTTGGAATATCCTTCCATGTTGGAAGGAGACATGGATCCCAGGGATGAATGATTACTGCCTATGCAGCTTCTGGCAGCGGACGTACGGCTCTTTGGAGGCGGCACATCTTCCCTGATATCGTGATGAACTTACTTTTCGTATTTTTCTTCTCTGCGCTTTTTACGACAGCAAAAGATGATAAGACCAATGAGCACTAGAGCAAGCAAAGTTCCTATAATGGCTCCTGCAATTAGTCCAGCTTTATTTGAAGGAGGGACAACGTTTACACGCAACAGGCACTGATCAGAGCCCACTCCGTTTCTGATGTACAGCTGTATGTCCCAGAGTACTCAGAAGAAGCATTTTTTTTACAGATATAACAGATGAAGTCATTTCTGCTAACCATGAAGTGGGCATTTTCTGTGAGTCAGACAATTTTTGCCACTCATACTGTAATGGAAGTGAACCTTCTTTTGGTTCACATTTTAGTTTAAAGTCACTTCCAATTTCTTCTGATCCATCAACATAACATCTTGTACCTGAAGGCTTAACAAGAACTACCAGCTGAATCTTCTTATTTGCAACACCAGGAGCTTTTTTCACTTTGCACTGATCTGTGCCAATATCTGACAGCTGTAAATTCGTTACATTTATTGAAGCATCACCAGATTTGAGATCATTTCTCTTAAAATGTACTCGGCCTTTCAGTTCTGGATAGTTATCATCATAAATTTTGTTTCCAGAATATAAAATCATCACTTGATCCATCTTCTGATTATCAGCTGGTGATATCAGCCACTCAATGTCCAGTGGTCCCTGGTCTTCAGGACTAAGCATAATTTGCATGGCAGATAGGTAGTTTCCCCTTTGGCTTTTTCAATCATCTGCTCAGGAGTAGTGATACTCAAACTTCTGGTGAAATCCGCGACTCCGCACAGGAGCACGAAGCGCAGCAGGAACGCCATGGTGGCTGCCGTGCCGTGGGCGGCGGCTGCAGGTAGGCGGCTCTCGCTCCAGGTCCTAGGCTCCCCGCGCCTCGCGCACTCAAGATAGAGAAAATCTTAAAGACTCCACCAAAATAAATGGTTAAAGCTGATAAAGAAATTCAATAAAGTTAATAGTTACAAAATCAACATACAGCTAGCATTATTGTTTCTATACACTAATGACAAACTATTACCTGAAAAATAAAGTAATAAGGCAATTCAATTTATAATAGAATCAAAACAGATATAAAAATATATAAAAGACTTAGGAGTAAATTTAATCAAGAATGTGAAAGATTTGCACACTGAAAACTATAGCACATTGATGAAAAAAATTAAAATGGCATAAATAAATGGAGAAACATCCTTTATTGATGGATTCAAAAATTAGTATTGTAAAAGTGTCAATGCTACCCAAAGCAATCTACAGATTAAATGCAACCACTATCAAATTCCCCGAAATAGAAAAATTACTGCTAAAATTTGTATGGAACCACAAAAGACCCCGACTAACCAAAGCAATCTTGAACAAAAAGAACAAAGCTGGAGGTATCAGACTACCCAATTCCAAACTATATTACAAAGCCATAGTAATTAAAACAACATAGCAGTGGCATAAAAACAGACAGGTAGAACAGTGCAAAGGGATATAGAACCCGTAAATAAGTCCGTGTGTCTGTGGTCAACTGATTTTTTGATAAAATGACTAAAAATACACAATGAAGAAAGAAAATTATTTTCAATAAATGGTGTAGAAAAAACTGAATATCCACATACAGAAGAATAAAATTTGACTTTCCTTTTGCTCTTTATACAAGTATCAAATCAAAATTAAAGACTTAAATGTAAAACTACTACAAGGAAATATAGAAGAAGACTGTATGACATTGGCCTGAGCTATGATTTTCTGTAGATTATTCCAAAAGCACAGGCAACAAAAGCAAAAACACACGAATGAGATTGCATAAAACTAAAAAGCTTTTCCACAGGAAAAGAAGCGATAATAGAATGAAGAGAACCCACAAATGGGATAACATTTTTAAACCATACATCAGATAAAGGGCTCATATAATAATATATAAGTAACTCAACCTACTCAAAAATAAGAATAAAACTATGCTTATTAAAAAAATAAGCAAAGAACCAGAATAGACATTTCCTAAGGCATACAAAAGGCCAACAGGTACATGAAAAAATCAAAAACATTTCTAATTATCAGAGAAATGCAAATCAAAGCCACAATGAGATATCACCTCACACATTTTACTAAGGCTATTATAAAAAGAGACGGAAGATAAGTGTTGATGAGGATGTGGAGAAAAAGAAACCCTGTACACTGTTGGTAGGAATGGAAATTAGTACAGCCATCTTGGAAAACAGTATGAAGTTTCCTCAAGAAATTGTAAGTATATTTACCCTATGATCCATCAATCCCACTTCTGGATATATGTCCAAAGGAATTTCAATCCGTATGTCAAAAAGAGACATCTGCAATTTCATGTTCGTTGCAGCATTATTCATAATACCCATGAATTAGAAACAACCTAAGTGCTTATCAACTGAAGAATGGATAAAAATATGTGGAAAAATTGGAACCCTTCTACACCACTGGTGAGACTTTAAAATGTAAAACAGTCTGGCAGTTCTTCAAATGGTTAAACATAGAGTTATCACATGACCCAGCAATTCCACTTCTGTGTGTTTACCAAAAAGAAAATAAAACAAATGCTACACAAACAGTAGTACACAAATGTTTATAGCAACACAAAGTAGAAAACAACAGAAATGTTCATCAGCCGAGGAGTGGATAAATAAAATGTGGTGTGTCCATAAAACAGAATCTTATTTAGCAAGAAAAGGTAAAAAACTGTTAATGCATGCTCCAAAATGGATGAACATTAAAAATACGTTAAGTGAAAGATGTGAGTAAAAAGTGACTATGTGTTATTATGATTCCATTTATGTGAAATGTCCAGAATAGGCAAATTCATAGTCAGAAAGTAGACGAGTGGTTGCCTAGACTAGGAGGGGTTTAAAAAAGGCTGGAGAAAATGGGGAAGATTGCTAATGGGTGCAAGTCTCTTTTAAGGAGAATTAAAATGTTCTAAAATTATATTATGATGATTATTTGTCCATCCAGTTAATATACTAAAAGAATTTGAAGTTTGTACTTTAAATGAGTGAATTACACAATGTATAAATTATATCTCAATAAAGCTGTGGAAAGTTAAAAGTATATGTAGGATGCATACAAAAATACAGCTTATCTTTATAAATGAATGAAATTCTGTCATTTGCAAAAACATGGATGGATTTAGAGGACATTATGCTAAGTAAAATAAGCCAGACACAGAAAGACAAATATCTCTTAATATCACTTATATGTGAAATCCAAAACTGTGCACTCATAGAAGTTAAGAGTAGAATGGTGGTTTATCAGAGGCTGAGCAGGGTGGGGGGCAGGGGTGGAAAAAGGGGAAATATTCAATGGGATAATGCTTCAGTTAGGAGAAAGACATTCTGGTGATATGGTGCACAGCAAAGTGACTGCAGTCACTTATAATGTAGTGCATATCTTAAAAGTGCTAAAATAGTACATTTTAAATGTTTCACCATAATGTAATAAATATCTGAGGTGAAGGATATGTTTTTTAGCCTAATTTGTCCATTTCACAATATTTACATGTATCGTACCACATTGTACCCTATATATATTTATTTATCAATAAAATCAACATTTTAAAAAGTGAGAAACACAGATGTGCTAGATCTTCATCTAAAGACATTTCTGAGAAAAATGTATCTGTTTTCTTTCAAAAGAAATTTACACTTAATAGATATTATAGTAACTAAAGTAAGGCAGATAATTTCGGCCATCAGCTTATATTATGGGATAATCTCTTTTTGCTGACCTTGTAAAAGCTGTGGCATATTAACAAGTAGGAACATTTTTTTATCACGATCAGGTAAAGGTTCTGCATGTTTCTATTTTGAATAATATTTTCCCCAGGAATCACAAAGTGTGAATGCCTTTTATTTCAGAGGTCTAGCCCTAAATGGTTTAGTCAATTACATCATGCATTCTGAAATAAGTACTGGTGCATTTGGGAAGGTACCATATACAATTGTGTTTTAAATTTAACTATCATATAAGTCTACTTTTCTAGTTAAGAGTCTATATTTTATAGAGGCCCTCCATATATATAAGAGCTTTTCTGATAGTATACCCATTAGATTTCAAAGATAAGTAAAGGAACAATTTTGCTTTTATTTTTTATTATTATTATTTTTTAAGGCTAGTCAAGTGAAGCAGTGGGAGTGGAGAAGGAACTGCTTTCATTTTTATATGTTGGTGTTACAGGCTATATGTGACAGGCTATATATTTTTATGCTGAATTTTAGAAACAAAATGAAATATTTATTTCATATTTCATTAGATTTAGGGATGATTACATTGAGGGGTTGGGACTAGACTGAAGGCACCACATCATCAATCACTTGGAAACAATATTTTGCCTATGTGTTATGTTATATTGACAAAAACTTTTATTGTTGCAGGCAATATATCTCCCTATTGAAATATGTGAAAAACGTAGAGAAAAAAAGACAATATTTGTTATCAAGGGATATTTAGGCCTGAGATGCATGATGCTAATATTCAAAACATACACTTTTTAAAAATTAGATTTAAAATGTAAATTGAAGCAGGACATTTAGAAAAAGACATAATATCTACTATAAAAGTCCTGGGTTAGAAAAGTTAAAATGCTAAATGAAAAAATAATGCTTCTTGGGTGGCTTAGAATCGAATATGAGACAAAAGATTACTCAGAAATTTTTCTAAGATTAAAAACATGTATACAGTTTCTTTGATATAAAATGAAATAAATGTCTGGATATAACTTTAACAGAATAGAATAGGGAGACAAGGGCAAAGAGCAGGTGTATGCAGAATAAAGTGAACATATTATTGTAATAATGAGAGGGACAGAGTTGAATGATTGCTCTTGGAGACAAGGGATTTTGATGTCTAAGTTAATGACAAATCTTTTGTTTGCAAGTTAAAAAATGTAACTTAAACCTGGTGAAGGAATAAAGGGTGGTTGGGGGGATGATTCTTTGTACACTAAACTTATTTTAATGACTAATGAATTAATCATAAGTTCAAATGATTTTATGGAGGCCCTTTCTTTATTTGATATTTCTGGACTCCTTTTTTCTTTGTATGTGCTCCATTTTTACCTACTTGAACAATTTTTACCCTCAAAGTTTAGGAAACACTGTAACCAAATGTTCCAACATGATGTAATCCCTGAAAGCATTTGCAGCTGGGGGAGTAGGGGAAAAGGGGTTTCTCTTTCAACAAATGCATGTTAATCTCAGTGAAAACTCAGAAGTTTAAACATGGTCCCCCTTGGGTCATGTGGCTACCCCAGGACCAATCATTGCACCAGACATAGGAGATAATCTCAAAAGCCAGGTTGGAGTCAAGGTTCTTCAGTGGAATTTCCACTTTAGAAATCAGTTTTGTCAGGCTTTGTGTTTGCATATTACAGACATGATAGCCATATAGCTATCTATTCCACTTCCGGTAGAGATGAAAACCTAAGAGCATATGACCATTCAAAGGATTTTACATGAATCTTCATAGCAGCTTTACTTGCAACAGCCAAAACCTGAAAACAGTTCAAATATCCATGGACAGGTGAATTTGTGATTTATAAACTTACTATGGTATCTGTATATAATGAAATAATACTCCCTAGTAAGAACAGAACAATTGATAGATGTAGCAACATGAATAAATCTCAAAAATAGTGATGCTGAGTGATCAGAAAGTATACGTACCCTATGATTTTATGTATTTGGAAATAAAAACTCATGGATAGTGACTGGAAGTGGATCAGTGGTTGCCTGTGGATGGAATGGGGATAGGCAGGAAAAAGTGAGTAGAAAAAGCACAAGGAAACTTTGGTGGTAAAGGTAATGGGTATGTTTGCTATTTTAATATGTTGTTGGTTTTGTAGAGCTACAAATGCCAAGAATTATCAAAATGTACAATTGAAGTATGTGCAGTTTATTGCATGTAAATAAACCTTTTAAAAATTAACTGATACAAATTGACTTACATGACCAGAAAGCTCTTGAAAAACTCTCCTGTTTTCTCCCCTATTTTTATTCTTGCATGCCCTTATAGCCTGTGTTAACACATTTCTCATCTTACCATTCTTTTGTGTCTACATTTCTCCAGGTCAATATAACTACCACCATAATTTCTTGGTTTCTCTTTAGTTCATTAGTAATTATGAGTAATGTATTGAAATGTTAAAGATATGTTCATGCATTCAGAATCCTCTGCTCTCTGATCCACATAATAGTGAATTATGCTGTCAATAATTACACAGTATAGTGCTTTTTTTCTTTTTTGAGACAGAGTCACACTTGGTTACCCAGGCTGGAGTGCAATGGTGCATTCTGGGCTCACTGCAACCTCCACCTCACGGGTTCAAGTGATTTTCCTGCCTCAGCCTCCTGAGTAGCTGGGATTACAGGCATCTGCCATCATCCCTGGCTAATTTTTGCATTTTTATTGGAGACAGGGTTTCACCATGTTGGCCAGGCTGGTCTTGAACCTCTGACCTCAGGTGACCTGCCTGTCTTGGCCTCACAAAGTGCTGGGATTATAGGCATGAGCCACCACACCCAGCCAGAATATTGCTACTTTTGCAAATAGCTACAATTGACCCTGATCTGGACTTTGAGTTGATCACAGCTTTGTAAAAGAGGATAGCATTGTAAACTACAAAATTAGCCTAATAATAAATAACATAGAATGCTTTCAGTATAAGAAATAATACTATCCTAAGCAAAAATAAATAAATAAATAAAAGTGGAGGAATTATATTATCTGACTTCATATTATACTACAGAATTATAGTAACCAAAAGAGTAGGGTACTGGCATAAAAAGAGACCCATAGATCAATGGAACACAATAGAGAACCCAGTAACAAATCTATATACCTACAGTGAACTCATTTTTGACAAAGGTGCCAAGAACATACACTGGTGGGAAATGGTGTTGAAAAAACTGGATATCCATATGCAGAAGAATGAAAACAGACTAGTATCTATCACCGAATACAAAAGTAAAATCAAAGTTGATTAAAGATGTAAAGCTAATACCTCAAACTATAAAAAAATCTCCAGGACATTGGTCTGGGCAAAAATATCTTGAGCAATACCCGACAAGCACAGGCAACCAAAGCAAAAATGGACAAATGGATCACATTAAGTTAAAATGCTTCTGCACAGAAAATGATACAATCAACAAAGTTAAGAGACAATCCACAGAATGGGAGAAAATATTTGCAAACTACTCATCCAACAAAGGATTAATAATCAGAATATATAAAAAGCTCAAACAACTCTTTAAGAAACAATCTAATAACCTGGTTTAAAAAAAGGGGGCAAAAGATTTGAATAGATATTTCTCGAAAGAAGACCTACAAATGGCAAACAGGTATAAGAAAAGGTGCTCAATATCACCGATCATCAGAGAAATGCAAATCAAAACTACAATGAGATATCATCTCACCACAGTTTATATGACTTGTATGCAAAAGACAGGCAGTAACAAATGCTAGCAGGGATGCAGAGAAAAGGGAACACTTGTACACTGCTCCTGGGAATGTAAATTAATAAAACCACCAAGGTGAACAGTTTGGATGTTTCTCAATAAACTAAAAGTTGAGCTACCATATGATCTAGCAATCCTACTGCTGGGTCTATACCAAAAATGAAGGAAATCAGTATGTCAAATACATATCTGCACTCCCATATTTGTTGCAGCACTGTTTACAAAACTAAGATGTGGAAGAAACCTTAGTGTCCATCAACAGATGAATGGATAAAGAAAATGTGGTACATATACACAATGGAGGACTATTCAGCTGTAACAAAGAACAAGATCCAGTCATTGTCAGTAACACTGATGGAACATTATGGATCATTATATTAAGTGAAATAAGCCAGGCGCAGAAAGACAAATGTTACATGTTCTTACTTA
Organism: Homo sapiens; assembly: GCF_000001405.40. Lineage (NCBI taxonomy): Eukaryota > Metazoa > Chordata > Mammalia > Primates > Hominidae > Homo > Homo sapiens. The sequence goes on from NT_167208.1 coordinate 80,655, forward strand.
TTTGTGGAATCTAAAATCAAAACAAACTCATGGACATATGGAGTATAAGGATGGTTATCAGAGGCTGGGAAAGGTAGTTGGGGGGGAGGTTTGTGGGAAGGTGGGGATGGTTAATGGGTATAAAAATAGAGAGTTAATAAGACCTACTATTTTATAGCACAATAGGGTGACTATATCCAATAATAATTTAATGGTACATTTTGAAGTAACTAAGACTGTAATTGCATTTTTTATAACTTGAAGGATAAATGCTTGAGGGGAGGGATACCCCATTCCCCAAGATGTGCTTATTTCACATTACATGCCTGTATCAAAACATCTCAGGGACCCCACAGATACATACACATACTATGTACCCACAACATTTTTAAACAATCTAATACAATTTTTTAAATAGCACTTATTTTTTGTTACCTTCAACTATTGTAAAATATATTCTATTATTTATGATTAGACTTGTTTGAAAACAAATTTTAAAAACACTATTTAAGACCAGATAAATGGACTAGGAGTAACTTGCATAAAAATGACAGAAATTGCTGCTACTTCTTCTAATTATTGAGATGGTATTTCTATATTTGTGAAATTATCTGTGATAGAAAATTGAATTGTTTCCAACATTATTATTTTTCATAATTCCACATGTTATATTGCTACTTCTTTAAAAGTGGCCTTTAAAATATTACCAATCTATTTTAAAGTCTACTTGCCAAAACATTAAACTATTCTTTAAAAAAGTAATTTATTTAATTACCTAACATCCTCAAGCAATGTCCTAATTTTCTCAAGCAATTATCTGATTTTCTCAAGCAATTGATATTAGCAAGTTGTGCTAGCTAACTGCTGAGAATCATTGTCTACATATGAGATAAATCATCTGTCAATCCTTTAAAGAAGACTTTATGAGCCATAGAGATTGTAGTCCAATCTGTATCACTGACTTTAAACATTGGATAATTGACACTCCGTGTTGTCTGTAAGCCTATTTCACAGCAGCTGAGTGATGTTAATAGATACTTCTTGGAGTGCCATTTTCCTTATAACCCTTAGATTAATTCAGATTGACTGAGTTCTGTGTCAGTGGAAATTGCCAGAATTATATCATTGTGCTTTGCATCTAGTTTCACTTTTCCAAAAGCCTATACAGATTTCAGATGTTTAGAAAATAGCTCTTGTTTTCCTTCTGGGTAATCTTTTTCATGTCACCACTCTTGTCAGCATCTGCATTGGGCAAATTTCCTAGGACCTCCCTTCTGCGTCTTTTAAAAAATGAAAACAAAATCAATGTAGCGCAGCAAGCCAGGGAGTCTGCTTTGATTGACTTATGGCCATAGTCACCCAGCAGTTCCTTCAGATGTGGCTTCCCAGGTCAGCCACTGAGCCCACCGCTGTCCTCCTGCCTGCAGAAGTGGCTCTGTGAGCCGTTTGAGGAGAAAATGGGGGACTTTGGGCTTCAGCCCGAGGAGAACAGGGTGGAGATGGAGGAGCCCCTGGGCGTCCGCAGGTTAACTGAAAACATGAGAAAACACAAGCACGGGACCAAGTCTTTCACTAACCTGTAAAGAACTCTCACCAAGCCGACTGGGCACTTTGTCTCAGCGCCTGCCTTTGCGACCACTGTGTGCGGGAATGCCTGGGGCACGACTGGGCCATCCCAGTGTTCTTATGTCTATACATTCCGAGGTTACCCCTCAGCAAAATGCCAGAGGCTGTCAGACACAGCGGAGCATCCTGCAGTAGGGATCCGAAGCCGTGGAATCTCCAAAGGACCACTTGACCGCGTCCCAGAATCTCCAGCTCAGGCCGGACATTGCCCAGAAAGCCCACATCGTCTTTGGCAATACCTCCCGGATTGTGGTTTTGATTTGCATTTCTCTGATGGCCAGTGATGATGAACATTTTTTCATGTGTCTGTTGGCTGCATAAATGTCTTCTTCTGAGAAGTGTCTGTTCATATCCTTCCCCCACTTTTTGATGGGATTGTTTGATTTTTTCTTGTATATTTGTTTAAGTTCTTTGTAGATTCTGGATATTAGCCCTTTGTCAGATGGGTAGATTGCAAAATTTTTCTCCCATTCTGTAAGTTGCCTGTTCACTCTGATGGTAGTTTCTTTTGCTGTGCAGAAGCTCTTTAGTTTAGTTAGATCCCATTTGTCAATTTTGGCTTTTGTTGCCATTGCTTTTGGTGATTTAGACATGAAGTCCTTGCCCATGCCTATGTCCTGAATGGTATTGCCTAGGTTTTCTTCTAGGGTTTTTACGGTTTTAGGTCTAACATTTAAGTCTTTAATCCATCTTGAAAAGTTAATAATAATAAAGATAATAATATGGAAGAAATTAAAAAAAAACCTCCCGGAGACCAGGAACTTGGTCGGGGCGCGCGGCCTGAGATCACCCCAAGCTCTGGGTGCCTTCCTATCCTTCTGCTTCTTCCTTGGCCGCTTTAGGGGGCGCGCCTCGCCGTGGGTCTCCCTGCGGGTGGTGCAGTGGTGCTCCTGGATGTCACCTCCAGGCGCTTTTGAGACTGCGGCAGGCACCGGGCACCAGGCACCTGCGGATTGGCCTCCCCAGACCGGGCTCAGGAACCTCCAGTGCTCCGCAGTGCGGGCTGCAGGCGACCTCAACGTGGAGCTGCTGCCAGCACCACAGGCCCCAGGGGAGGCCCAGGATGCTGCTTCCCCGCCCCAAGAAGGGCAGTTTGGAGGAAAGTCTTTGGCCTGATGGAAGGCGGCGCCCATCGGGGACGGGGCTGAGAACTAGGCTGGCGCCGCTGCCTGGTAAGCGGGGACCAAGAGGCCCACGGCCTCCATCAGGAACCAGGTGCTTCTCCAAATCCCGGATTTCCAGGAGGAACAACGGCGTCAAGCTGGCTGACACCAGGAACACCCAGAAGTCCCCGCTCCTGTCTGTCCTTCCGCACTCAGGAGCGGGGATGGCCACGGGGACACCATCCGCCCACAAACCGCTGGCGTTTGCTGCCATGGTGCGCGGAGATGCGGTCCCCGAGGAGGCCACTTTCGGCCAGGACGCTGGGACCGTATCAGCAGCAGCATCCCGCGCTGACACTCAGTATTGACTTTCCCCGGACATTGCTGGATTTTTTGCTTTTTAAAACAATTTTGCAGTGGGAGAACAAAAAAGGGCATCCTCAGAGCTTTTGCAAAATTCTCCTGGACCTGTGGTTCTATGGTGTTCACCTCTGCGTTTTACGGACCACTAATTGGCCAGAGCTCGTAAGGCCTATAAGGGCCCCACCCAGCGCTTTAGACACCCCTGAGGGACATTCGCAGCTCAGGAGGATAAAGGTCCTCAGGGGCCTGCCGCGAGGAGGACATGCAGCCCCTCGGCCACCACATCTTCCTCCATTCCAGCCTGGAAAGAGAGACCTTGCCCTCCACCTTACAGGCCTTCATGACCTTGGGACCCACTCTAGAGGCCACGCGCATTTCCACTGCCAAAGCAATAACACAGGAGATGGAAAGAAATTCTTGGCCAGGCGCGGTGGCTCACACCTGTAGTCCCAGCACTTTGGGAGGCCAAGGCGGGCAGATCACGAGGTCAGGAGATCCAGACCATCCTGGCTAGCAAGGTGAAACCCCGTCTGTACTAAAAACACCCAAAAGGTGGCCGGGCTTGGTGGCGGGCTCCTGTAGTCCCAGCTACTCGGGAGGCTGAGGCGGGAGAGTGGTGTGAACCCGGGAGGCGGAGCTTGCAGTGAGCCGAGATCGCGCCACTGCACTCCAGCCTGGGGGACAGAGCGAGACTACGCCTCAGAAAAAAAAAATTTTGCCTTCACTATATGCCTAAGTAATTTCTCTATTAGAGCTCAGAGTCGTGGGGCCCACACCGCCAGCTGACACATGAAAATGTGGCAATGATGTGGTGGTGTCTCTGTGTGGCAGCGTGGTGGTGTGTCTGTGTGGTGGTGTGTCCGTGTGGCAGAGTGTCTGTGTGGTGCTATGTCCATGTGGTGGTGTGTTCATGTATCTGCATGGTGATGTCTCCGTGTGACAGTGTGTTTGTGTATCCATGTGACAATGTCTGTGTGTCCTTGTGTCCACATGGCAGTGTCTGTGTGGTGGTGTCTGACAGTGTGGAGGTGTGTCCATGTGACAGTGTGGCGGTGTGTCTCTGTGTGGCAGTGTCCATGTGGCAGTGTGTTTGTGTGTTCCTGTGATGGTGTGTCCATGTGACAGTGTAGTGATGTCTCTTGTGTGTCTGTGTGTCCCTGTGATAGTGTGGTGGTGTGTCCATGTGATGTCTCCGTGTGTCTGTGTGTCCCTGTGATAGTGTGGTGGTGTGTCCGTGTGGATTTCTCCGTATGTCTGTGTGTCCGTCCATGTGAATGTGCCAGTGTGTCCATGTGACGGTGTGTCCGTGTGGTAATGTCTCCGTGTGTCTGTACATGTGACAGTGTGGTGGTGTGTGCGTGTAACAATGTGGCGGTGTTCCCTTCCCGGCTTGCGGAGCTGGCGTCTTTCCCTCTCAGCCCAGGACGCCCCAGGAGACCCCCAGCTTGGAGGGCAGGAGGTGGCTTCTGTGGAGGGAGGACCAGGGAGCCCCAACAGCCGAGTTTGTGGGGTCCCCTGCATTGGGTGGGAGTGAGGAGAAAGGCGCCGGGGCAGCCAGGACAAGCCTGGGCCTGCCCTAAGGAGGTGACCCACTCCGGGCCTGCATTTTGGGGCGAGCACTCCAGCTCGGTCATCTTGTCCTAAGTCCTTTGTGTGCCGTGGAGATTGCTGAGTTTTGAAGAAGGGAAGGTCATCTTTGTCGCGGAAAGCCTGATGTGTTTCTCTATTGCTGTCACTTTTCAGCCTCATTGCTGGTGAAACATCAAACATTGGGCACATTCTGCCAAGAAAACACCCGGAAGAAAATGTGGGGACTGGCAGTATCAAACCAGAGGAGTCACACACAGATTTCTGTTTGGTTGGAGATCTGCCGTTTTTCCCTGTGGTTTGGGGAAGCGGAGCAGCTCTGCAACGGGAAGGAAGGTGGGTTCTGTGCGGCCAGGAAGGTCCTGGCCCGGGGCAGAGGGGCGAGAGGGGATGTGCGGCGAAAGGCTGTGCAGGGCAGCGGGCAGTGTGCATCGCCCCTACTGCCGGGCGCCCAGGAGGAGGACAGGTCCCAGCCTGGCGGGAGCAGAGGCGGCAGGGCTGGAGTCCCCACACCGGGCTTGAGGGCCGGCGGAGCCGCAGGCTGTGGCCGAGGGGGACTCCCGGGCACCTGGTGGGCGTCCCCATGACCAGGATACACACCGGGCTCCGGAGGCCAGGCGGACCAAGCTAGGGGTGCCAGGGGAGGCTCGAGGTTCCCGCGGTGGGAGGTGGGTCCCTGGACCCTGGTCTCCTGCTGCTGTCCCACACATGGGCTGCCTTCGCTCAGGGGCACCCCGCCAGCGTCGCCTATCTGGGACCTCAGCGCAGCTCCTAGCAGGCGGGAGGCTGAGGCAGAGACCTCAGGGCCCAGCTGGGTCTGCAGTTTCCACCACTCGTGACGCAGGGCGAGCTCAAGCTGTGCCGCCCAGGCAGGAAACCCTCCGACCTTGCCAGCTTTGGCGCCAGCCTTGGTGACTCTCTCCAGCTCAGCTTCAACACCTTTCAACAGTTCTGTGTTCGCTATTATCACAAGAATTCTTTCTGTATTTCCTATCCTTTATCAAATAGGAATTTAAATATGCATATGGAGTGATATCACAGTTGAAACATTAAACAATATACAATTTCATGTGTCTTTTTTTGTTTAATATATAATTTTCTAAAAAGTAAAATTATGACTCTACTGCAAATATAAGATAAACACATATCAACAATGTTTTTCAACTCAATAAGCGATGAGGGTTCCAGTAAATAGGTTCAAATCCTTGCAAGGAACATTAAAGGAGCTTTACAGCCAGTGTTAAAGTCAGATCGTTGGGTACTTACAGTACTGGTTAGTATCCAACATAGCCAGAAGCTGTCATCTTTGTGAGTTCTCTCTTCCACGGCACAGAAATAATGTGTTTTTCTACTGTACAAAATATTTATCTTTTCTACTACTTCTGCACATAAAAATATTGCTAGTCAGAAAAGACCAGGATTGCACTGAAAAAAAATCTCAGTAATATCTCTCACCTGTATTCATACTTCTTTTCTTCCTTTATGAAATATCTTTCAACTGCATTTTCTATCTGAAGGTTTATAGAGAGAGGAAAATGAATAAAAGCATAGTAAGTGAATATTTGGTAACATTTTGCAGCTTTATTCATGTCTAACGAACATAAAACACACTTCCAATATTTAAAGTGTAAATGAGATGAATTTGATATGTACATGTGCCCATTAAACAATCACCATGAAGGGGACAATGAGCATATCCAATACTCTCAAAGCTTCCTAGTTCTCTTTTGTAATGCACACTCATACCTCTCAGGTGTGAAGTATTGAGCTTCACACATACACACAAATATATACTGGGATATCTAATTGTTTCAGAAGCATTTGTTGAAAATGTTATGTCCATGAATGGTCTAAGAACTTTATCAAAAATTAGCTGATAGCTGATATACATGTGTATATCTATATTTGTACTACATTGTCTTAAGTATTACTGTAACGTTCTAAGTCTTGAATCCCGGTGCTGTTTATTCTCCAGCAGCACCTGGTTTCAAAGTAACTGTTTCCTTTCAAAGTAATTTGCCATTATAGGTCCTCTACCCATTGATGTACATTTCAGAATTTTAGTTTCTCAATTTCTAAAATAAGAAATCCAGCTGTGATTTGATTGGAATTGTTATAGATCAATGTGGGAAGAGTAGACATCTTAACAATATAGAGATTTATGACTCATAAATTCCATTTATTTAGGTCTCATTTATTTTAGCAATATTTTGTAGTTTTGTAGTTTTCAAATGTTTCTCTTTTTTGCTGGTTTATCTCTAAGTACATATTTTGATATTTACAATAATATCAAAATTATGGTAATATTAATGCAAATGTTGTTTTATTTTTTTCCTCCATTAATTGTCAGGTAGTTTTAAATCATAATTTAATTGTATGATAAAACTGAATTTTGCGAGAAATGTATACATATTGTATATATACTGTTTGTCAGTTTGGCAGATTGACTGCATTATCATATCATAATTTAAAATTGCACTAATTACCACTCAGCCTCCTCTCAAGGACAATATATCAAAATATATAGCATGTTTCAGTTTATTTAGCATCATGAAACTCTCATATTGCACTTACTTTTGGAAACCTGGAATAATAAAATAATGTAAATATCAGTTCACAGGCGACATATAAGTACATGAGACAATTTTCTAAATATCTACCTATCGCTCTTTAATTCTATGTTAATATTGTCAATTTTTTCCTCCTCTTGAAACTCTCTTATGCAGCTTATTGACTTTTGGTTCAATTCCTTCCCTGTTTTTCCCCCTAATCTACTTTCTAATATTTTACTGATGTTGTGCTCCTTTTTATCTGGACACTTTTAAAAAGCTGTGTAATTTCTCCTTTGTATTAAAATGCAAATCCATATCCAAAATAAATGAGCAGAGGGACCAAACAGATGTTTGTGCAGCGTGTCCATTAGCAATATTATTCACAATAATCAAAGGGAGGGAGCAGCCCTTGTGAATATTGATGGATGAGTGGTTAAACAAAATGTGGTATATACGGCAACATAATAATATTCAGCCTTAAAATATATTCTCACACATGCTACAAAATAGATGAAACTTGAAGACATGCTAAGTGAAATAAGCCAGTCAGAAAAATTCAAACATTCTATCATGCCACTTCTATGAGTTACTTAGTGAAAGTTGTAGAGACAGAAAGTAGAATGGTGATTGCTAGGGGGAAGGAGAGGGAGAGGAATGGGAAGTTGGTGTTCAATGAGTAAAGCATTTTAGTTGGAGAAGAAGACAAGTTTTGGAGGTCTATGGTGGTGACTGTTGCACAATAGTGCAAATATACTTAATGCCACAAAACTGTGCACTTAAAGTGATTAAAAAGGTAAATTTCATGTTGTGTATATCTTTCCAGAATTATAAACCTGCCATCACATTATAGAAATAAAGAGTATATTATATAGCGTTAGGTGATGCTATTTTACACATTTGCACATAATTAGAATTTCAAAGCCTTAATTTCACATAAGGTAGTCTAAGACATAACAATATTGATGTAAGAAAGCCATAAGCAATGTTTATTTTCAATCAGATTTACTAAAAAATTTTATTGAACTGGTCAATTTTCTTTGCCAATATTACTGTATTCTTATTTCTAGTAATAGAGGTGTGAGAAAGCATCAAGGAAACTTAAATTGCATTCTCATACTGACTGCATACAATAATTCTGAAAACAGCAGAAGTTATGTATATCCCCCATAAGTAAAACATGAGTAACACAACACAACAAAAATTAATAGGAGACAATTCAAATAATGGTGACTTGTTATTCTTATCTAGTTAAGTACTATTCTTTTCTAACAGGAATTTGCTATTTCAAATATATTTTCTGAGATGTCTATATTTATATTTTGAGATGACATACAAACTTGAGTCAATGACATAGAATTTTACAAATCAAGAAGCTTATTCTGGGGCCATTTCTTTTGACATTTTCTCTAAACTACTAGAGAGGCATTAATGATCCATAAATTATATTATCTATATTTACAGCATTTAAAATGTGTTCAGCATGAAATATTAGCTACAGGGTAAGCTAAATAAATTAAACATGGGATAAAGATTTATCCTTAAATATAAATTACAAGAAGACTTTGATATTAGTTTTTCACAAGTGAAGCATTCTTATAAAATGTCATAACCTTTTTGGGGAAACTCTGGGAAAAATGGAGAAACTCTGAAGGGTTTTAAGTATCTTTCCTGAAGCTACAGACTCCATAACCTCTCTTTACAGGGAGCTCCTGCAGCTCCGACAGAAATGAGTGGCTGAGATTCCTGGTTGCATAGCAGAGCTTCTCATCCAAACCCTTTCCCTTTTTAGTGTCTGTGTATCAGTACAAAAGTTCTATAAACTGTAGTTATTTTAATCCCAAAGCACAGTAATAATATATTTCATCCAAGGGTTGGCAGTTTCTGTGAGTGTTTTGTCTAATTCTCCAAAACTCTATCTACAGGATTCCAAAGAGCCTGAAAAGTAAAATATTTTAAAAAGGGGAAAGGGAGAAAGGGAAAGAAAATAAAATTAATAGCCCATTCTGTCATTGTTATTAAACACCAGAGTACATTTCTGCTAGTCTAATTAAAATTAGTGACATCATTTAACATTTATGTCTTCAACAAAAGTTTGGAATCCTGAAAAAGACATTTAATTTGCTAATAAATATATTTGAATCAAATTGAAATCCTTACATATTACTTTAAATAAAGAACACAAGATGATTTATGATGTAGAAAATTCTATCCCTCATTGTCCAAAATCTAATAGTTAAATTGAACTTGTTAAATAATATTTTTGGCCAGGCATGTGGCTTACACCTGGAGTCCCAATACTTTGGGAGGCAAAGGCAGGTGGATTGCTTGAGCTGAGTAGTTGCAGACCAGGCTCGGCAACATGGTGAAACCCAATCTTTACAAAAAAAAAAAAAAAAAGAAAAAGAAAAAGAAAATTTAGCCAGGCATAGTGGCTTGCCTGCCTGTAGTCCCAGCTACTCAGGAGGATGAGGTGGGAGGATCACCGGAGTCTGGGGAAGCTGGGGCTGCAGTGAGCCATGATTGTGCCACTGCACTCCAGCTTGGGCAACAGAATGAGACCCTGTCTCAAAGAAAGACAGAAAGACAAGGAAGGAAGGAAGGAAGGAAGGAAGGAAGGAAGGAAGGAAGGAAGGAAGGAAAGAAAGAGAGAAAGGAAGGAAGGAAAATTAATAGTTTTGGTGCCAATAATCTTTACGGAATTTTGCTTTAATGAAATAGATTTAACTAAGTAGTGACATGATCTGCTTAAGTGTATTGACCCTAGCAATCAGAGGCCTCCGTATCCCCACAATGACTTAACAGTTACATTTGACAAGCCTTGATTCTCCTAACCTACGCACAGCATAGTCAGAATTTCAGAATTCCAACTTTCCCTATGCTATTTGGGCACATTGCTTAACTTCTCTAAGACTCAATATTTTTACTCTTAAGATACTACTAATAATAGTACCTAGTTTTTATGATATAATGTGCATCAAAAGCATTATACTTTCAGGCAGATGGCAATTTCTCAATAAATATTTGCTAATGTTTTAGTACAAACAGGAAAATTGGATTATGATATTTATGACACTGTTGATTCTCCTTCTAGAAACATTTGTTTCTAAAACTTGTTTTCAAATTAGAGCACTATTTTGTATTCAGATTGAAAATACTATATGTTCAGATTTTTTAAAAAACAGTATTGCATGAATGTTTTAATTAAAATATTCCTAAATGAGCTTGAGCAAGGAGGACAGGGGAGATAAGTAAAATAAGGCTTTCTGGCATAGGAGACATTTGGTGGAAATCTTTCAGCTCAACTAAGATTTGAAAAAAAAAGAGAATTTTTATAAAAAATGTAAAGGCAGGATTTACCCTGATGAGCTTGTGGAGAAAATACAGAGTCTAACATAATTCAAAAGAGACTAATCAGTCAAAGTAGTTTTGAAGGAATATCTTGAAGAGAGAGAACATAAAATGAAGATCAGGTATGTAGTTATTTTAATAATCTATCCATGAGATAAAAAGCATTGGGTTTTATTTTATTTGTCAAAAAGGGACAATAGTTCCAAGAACCATTCTTTGTTCAGCCTAAAGAGGTTTTTACATTTTGAACCAGCGACATATTGTGCTAAGTAGGATAATATCCAAATTTGTGTCTATATCAACAATTTTGTTCTCAATTAAAAACACTTTATTCACACAACTGATGATTATCTGCATTTGATTTAGTGCTGAACTGTCAAAGGGGGACTAACAAAAACAAAACATTAGAGTTGCAAGCAGTGTAAGTGGAAAATAATGATCATATTGAACTCATCATTACTGAAATAAGAAAACAAAGCAAAAAATAAATAAGAAAAAAATTGACTACATGAACATTTGCTTCTCTCCTAAGAATCAAAACCCTTAATTTGCTGTGGCAAAAAAGCATCTGGGTCCATGAACCCATGCAAAAGTCTACTGTTTCTGGGAGATAAGAAGAAGCAAAACACATCAGCTTTCAGAGAAGGTTAAGAAACCTCTCATACCCTACCCTACCCCACCTGATACCAGGCAAAGGATCACTGCTTCTGGGAGAGGGATGCAAGAAAAATACTCCTCCATCAGGAGAGGAACAAGGATTGTTTTGGGGCCCAGGATTTTGCACTAATGCAGAGTCGTGCTACTGTGGTAAAGGTTTGGAAAGTCTCCATCCAGTGACCACAGACAAAGGTATATTGTTCCTATGGAAGGAGAAATAAAAGAGTTTGTCCTTATTGTGGGGTTGAAAACTTGCAATGATATAAATCAGAGGTTTTCTACTACTGAGGTGGGAGGAGGGTAAGTTATTATTTCTTCTGCAAAAAACAACACAGGTAAGTGACAGTTTGACTCCCACTAGAATAAGAGTCAAGAAGTGTTAAAAATACCCCTTCTGTGAGTGTCCAATGATGAAACTGGCTCAAAAATAACATGAATCATCCCTCTGTCCCCAACCTGAATTTTTTGCCTAGTCACACACACACACACACACAAAATGATGTTCTACAGTTAGAGAGGAACAAGAAAGTGGAGAGAGACCCTCTCTATAACATAGGTGGTAAGGACTACCGAAAGCTAACTGTGGAACAGGATCATTGGCATATGCTCTCCAGAGTCTAAGGCCCCACACAAGGCACATCACATAGCAGCCTAGTGCTGGAGAAATCTGAGTTACATTGGTCACTGAATGTTTCAGACACCGCAGCAAAAAGCAACCTTTGTTCCTGCCCACACTAATAGCATGACATAAAAATGAAAGAGAAATATAAAACAATCTCGACATAATTATCTCATGATCTACTGTTTTTCTACATCAGATGATTTGCATTTTTTAGAAATTGGGAGACACATAAAAGCAAGTTAGAAATTTGAGTTATGAGTTATAATATTTTCAAAGGATAAAAAGTCAACAGAATCAAATTCAGAGATAATTCAGATGTTGGAACTAAATGCAAGTAATTTAAAATAATAATGATCAAAATGTTAAAGGATCTAGTTAAAAAATACAACATGTATGGAAAAATGAGGTATTTCAGCAAAGATGGGAACAGTAAAAGGCAAAATCTAGAAATAAGTGAAAGCATGAGAACAAAGATGAATTACATCAGCAAGCTGATTAGCAGACTGGTCATCAGAGTTAAAGAAAGAAGCAGTAAATTTTATACTAGGTCAATACAAATCATTTGAATGGTAGCACAAAGGGAGGAAAGAGAAAAACCAAATAAACCAATAAACCAAGCAAATAAAATACTCCAGTGAATCCAAGAATTTTCTGGTAATATGAAATTAACTAAAATATAATTAATTGGAATTACAGAAGGAAAGTAAAAACAGAATGTGAGAGAAGAAAAATTTGAAAAAGATGACTAAGGAGACCAAATAACCTCAAAATATCCAAGAAAGATTAATACAAAATTTAAAGAACGCTAGAATAATCACACTAGTCAAACTGCTGAAAACCAATGATTACCACAAATCTTGAATTCAGTCACAGAAAAAATAGGAACACTGTGTAGAGAGATAAACAGAAACAAACATTATAATGAACTGCTTGTCAGTAACTCTACAAGTCAGAAACCAATGATACAAAATTCTTAAATAACTGAAGAAAAGTCAACCCCCAATCTTATATCCATTAACTGTAATACAGCAAAAATAACAATTAAATGACATTTTCAGATTAACACTGGAAGAGTCCCTTGCTAACAGGTATGCACTAAAATAAATGTCAAAATCATTTCTTGAGGCAAAAGGAATATGGAAGCAGGTGAAAGTTGAAACTACACAAAGAAATAAATAATGCCAGAGAAGATATAAAGATATATAACCCAATTATTTTACATTGCTCTAAAGATAATTGATTGTCTAATTTTTTTAAAAAAAGTAACTTTATATTATGGAATTCATAATATTTGAGACTATAATGCATGACATAAATAGTATAAAGGAGAGAGGAAACAGAAATATACATTTTAAGGTTTTTATACCATAGTTGGTATAGTACAAATTATAGGTTACTGTAATAAGCTAGAATAGGTATTGAAATCTCTAGAGAAACCATGAACATTTTATAAAAATGGTATGTGCATTGTTTTCATAGAACTTCCAGCTTTTATTTATTTGTTTTTATTCATTTAATTTTATTTATTTTTTTTGAGATGGAGTCTCGCCCTGTTGCCCAGGCTGCAGTGCAATGGTGTGATCTCAGCTCACTGCAACCACCTCCGCCTCCCAGGGTTCCAATGAATTCTCCTGCCTCAGCCTCCTGAGTAGCTGGGATTACAGGTGCCCACCACCATGCCCAGCTAATTTTTGTATTTTTAGTAGAGACGGGGTTTCACCATGTTGGCCAGGCTTGTCTCAAACTCCTGGCCTCATGATCGGCCCACCTCAGCTTCCCAAAGTGCTGGGATTACAGACTTGAGACACCATACCAGGCCCCAGCTTTTAGTTTTTAAGGTAGTTGTTATTACATGTGAAGTAAGCTTATTCTTAAATATCCATGTTTTGAGAATTAATGATAATGACAAATTAATTTATCTCAATCTAAATGATATTTTAATATTAAATATTTAAATATTTTTATTATTTTTCCTTTTTAACAGAAGTCATTCTAACTGGTGTGAGATGGTATTTCACTGCTGTTTTGTTTTGCATTTCTCTGATGATTAGTGATGGTATGCATGTGTTAATATGTTTGTTGGCCACATATGTGTTCTTCTGAAAACTGTCTGTTTATGTTCTTTGCCCATTTTTTAATGGGGTTATTTATTTTTTGCTCGTTGATTTGCATAAGTCTCTTATGGCTTCTGGATAATAGGCCTTTGCTGTATGCATAGTGTGTGAATATTTTCTTCCATTCTGTAGGCTGTCTGTTCAATCCCTTGAGAGTTTCTCATGCTGTGTAGAAGAAGCTCTTTAGTTTAATTAAATCATACTTGTCAATTTTCATTTTTCTGGCAATTGCTTTTGAGGACTTACCCATAAATTCATTGCCAAGTGCAATGTCCAGATGAATATTTCCTAGGTTTTCTTCCAGGATTTTTATAGGCAGAGGATGTAATCTCATGTCAATGGGTCTTAATAATCAAATGACTCCACACTGAGAATCATTACTGTGAAAAATCGATTTTGTTATAATGATGGAAATTTAAACATATAAAAGTAAAAACAGATGCCACCTCTTTGCTAGAACTCCACAAGGCAAATTACTACAAGAGAGGCAGAGAAAACACGATATATATATATATATATATATATATATATATATATATATAATCTCCAAAATATAATTTGCAGTGAAATAAATGAAAGCACATTATAAATAAACTTACCTGATTTTACAAACTAACCTGTAAAGGGATTTGTACTAATTTTTCCATTGCCTGCATTGCCTTTTCTTCTAGATCCAATTTATATTTTTGTACTTCACCAATGTGTCTTCACCAATGTGTACTTTCCATACGTTTTTTAAGATTTAATATTACTTCTTCCAACATCTTTTTAGCCTCAAGTTTTTTACATTCCTGTTGTATTTTTTCATACATAATAACTCCTGTTGAATACCTTGTTTTGAGTCAAACAGACATATTTTGAAGATACAGCTTCCAGCTCTGCTGTAAGATCATCAAACTACATTAATAAAATAATATAGCTTGAAAATGAAGTAGGCTGAGAATAATCTCATACAAAACCAATAACAAATTTTGAAATACATTTACTTGCAATAAAATGTTATCTATAATGTAGATTCTTTAAATGTTAACCCTTAAATTACTCAGAAATTCAAGAACAAAGTAAAAGCCACCATAAGTCACATATACTCTTTACTATCATCATCTTTGCCACAGAACTTTTGCACTTGATCTTTCTTTTATTTTTCTGATAATTTGTGTCTGTTCCTCCTTAAATGGCTCTACGTTAACTCTTATTAGAAAGTTTCAAACCCCTTTCTCTCATCATCATGCCCCAAAATTTGTCAAAAAAAGTTTCAGAGATATAATATTGAGTTATTTAGGCCAAAGTCAATAAATGGCTCTTAGAATAAGACTTTGAAAATAATGTAATACTCTATGCTAGGCATGGTGGCTCATGCCTGTAATCCCAGCACTATAGGAGGCTGTGGCAGAAAGATTACTTGAGGCCAGGAATTTGAAACCAGCCAGAGCAACATAGTGATAACATAATCTCGACAAAAATTTTTTTTTTTTTAAATTAGCCAGCCATGGTGACTTATGCTTGTAGATCCAGCTAGTTGGGAGACTAAGGCACAAGGATGGCTTGGACTCAGAGTTCAGGGCTGCAGTGAATTATGACCAAGCCACTCCACTTCTGCCTGGATGACAGACAGAGACCATATCTCAAAAAAACACAAAATAATCCTATAAATAAGGATTCTAATGTCATAAGCCTTTCCCTAGGCTGTAAATGTTTTATGCTAATTTGAATTGCATTTTTAAAAGTAATGACTCTTGGGGTAGAGGCCATAGAATACAGCACCCAGATATATATCCACATATTTGCCTTACAAGAAATAAATCCACATTCTTACCTTACAAGAGCTCCTGAAGGAAGCACTAAACATGGAAAGGGACAAACAGTATGAGCCACTGCAAAAACATACCAAATTGTAATGACCATCGACACTATAAAGAAACTGCATTAACTAATGGGAAAAATAAACACCTAACAACATCATGACAGGATAAATTTCACATGTAACAATATTAACCTTAAATGTAACTGGGCTAAATGCCCCAGTAAAAAGACACAGACTGGCAAGTTGGAAAAAGACTCAAGACCCATTGGTGTACTGTATTCAGGAGACCCATCTCACATGCAAAGACACACACAGGCTCAAAATAAAGGGATGGAGGAATATTTACCAAGCAAATGAAAAGGAAAAAAAAAAAAAAAAGCAGGGGTTGCAATCCTAGTCTCTGATAAAACAAACTTTAAATGGAAAAGATCAAAAGAGACAAAGAAGGGCATTACAAAGCAGTGCCATCTGCTTTTCCTCAGGACTCTGCTCCATCAGCCATCAGGTGGCAGCCATTCAGGCTGTTGGAACCTGGCCATCCATGCTTCTCTGAGTGGGTGAAGTTAAAGGCTGGTCCAACTGCATGAGGAGCATGCTTGCAGAGGTGGCTGCTTGCTCTTTGAGCCAGCTTGGCCTTGCCTGGCATGCACAGGCCCCAGCTACTGACACGCTGCTCTGAGTAAGCTTGTCCTGCCTGGGGCCAAATTCTAAGTCTGGCCAGGGCCACAGAAAGGCGAGTCCCCTGGGTGGTAATCCTGACTTTTTTCTGCACTTGAACATAAAGTCCTCCTCAAGACGGCCTGTGGTCTGCCTCTTGGCAACCAAGAAGCCTGCAGTGCCATATAAGCTCAGAGGCATGGACTAGAGCCCCAAAGGCAGTGAACACCCTGCTCCTGAGCCTGCTGCTAATTCCCTGTGTGTGGCTCCATTTGCACAGCTGTTGTACTGAGGCTTGTGCATACCGAGCGAAGCCAAGCTGGCTCAAAGAGTACCCAGCCACCTCCGCAAGGGTGTGCCAGGAGCCGGTGGAGCAGACACTAAACTCACACGCTGCCGGTTGGGGCACATCAGTTCTTCTCCCATAGAGGTTGGGCCCCAGTGCCATCTGCTTTTCCTCAGGCCTCTGCTCCATCAGTCTCCAGGTGGCAGCCAGTCAGACTGTTGGAACCTGGCCATCCGTGCTTCCTTGTGTGGGTCAGTTTGATGGCTGCTACATCTTCTCCAGGCACACCCTTGCGGAGGTGGCTGGTTGCTCTTTGAGACAGCTTGGCCTTGACTGGCATGCACAGGCTCCAGCTACTGAGATGCTGCTCTGAGTGAGCTTGTCCTGTATTAGGCCAAATTCTAAGTCCAGTCAGGGCCACAGAAGGCAGAGTCCCCTGGGTGGTAATCCTGGCTGCTTTCTGCACTTGAACATAAAGTCCTCCTCAAGATGGCCTGTGGTCTGCCTCTTTGCAACCAAGAAGCCCACAGAGCCATACTAGCCCCAAGGCATTGACTGGAGCCCCAAACGCAGCACACACCCTGCTCCTGAGCCTGCTGCTCTGTTTTCTCTGTGTGGCTCCATTTGTAGCACAGTTGTTGTACTGAGGTTTGTGCATGCTGGGTAAGGCCAAGCTGGCTCAAAGAGCAACCAGCCACCTCTGCAAGGGTGTGCCAGGAGCAGGTGGACCAGCCACCAACCTCACTCGCAGCCAGTCAGGGTACATCAGTTCTTCTACCCTAGAGGTAGAGCCCCAGTGCCATCTGCTTTTCCTCAGGCCTCTGCTCCATCAGCCATCAGGACGCAGACATGCAGGCTGTGGGAACCTGGCCATCCCTACTTCCTTGAGTGGGTGAGGTTGGTGGCTGCTCCACCTGCTCCAGGTGCACCCTTGCAGAGGTGGCTGGTTGCTCTTCGAGCCACCTTGGCCTTGCCTGGCATGCACAGGCCCCAGCTACTGACACACTGCTCCGAGTGAGCTTGCCCTGCCTGGGGCCAAATTCTAAGTCTGGCCAGGGCCACAGAAGGCAGAGCCCCTGGGTGGTGATACTGGCTGTTTTCTGCATTTGAACATAAAGTCCTCCTCAAGATGGCCTGTGGTCTGCATCTTGGCAACGAAGAAGCCCACAGTGCCACACGAGCCCTGAGGCATGGACTGGAGCCCCAAAGGCAGCGCACACCCTGCTCCTGAGCCTGCTGCTCATTTCCTCTATGTGGCTCCATTTGTGGGACCACTGTTGTGCTGAGGCTTGTGCATGCCGGGCAAGGCCAAGCTGGCTCAAAGAGCAACCAGCCACCTCTGCAAGGGTGTGCCAGGAGCAGGTGGACCAGCCACCAACCTCACTCGCAGCCAGTCGGGGTACATCAGTTCTTCTACCCTAGAGGTAGAGCCCCAGTGCCATCTGCTTTTCCTCAGGCCTCTGCTCCATCAGCCATCAGGACGCAGCCATGCAGGCTGTGGGAACCTGGCCATCCCTACTTCCTTGAGTGGGTGAGGTTGGTGGCTGCTCCACCTGCTCCAGGTGCACCCTTGCAGAGGTGGCTGGTTGCTCTTTGAGTCAGCTTGGCCTTGCCTGGCATACACAGGCCCCAGCTACCGACATGCTGCTCTGAGTGAGATTGTTCTGCTTTGGCCCAAATTTTCTCTCTGTCCAGGGCAGAGTCCCCTAGGTGGTAATCCTGCCTGCTTTCTGCACTTGAACATCAAGTCCTCCTCAGGATGGCCTGTGGTCTGCCTCTTTGCAACGAAGAAGGCTGCAGTGCCACACGAGCCCTGAGGCATGGACTGGAGCCCCAAAGGCAGCGCACACCCTGCTCCTGAGCCTGCTGCTCATTTCCTCTCTGTGACTCCATACCTAGCACAGATGTTGCACTGAGGCTTGTGTATGCCAGGCAAGGCCAAGCTGGCTCAAAGAGCAACCAGCCACCTCTGCAAGCGTGTGCCAGGAGCCGGTGGAGCAGCCACCAAACTCACTTGTTGCAGGTCAGAGCACATCAGTTCTTCTACCCTAGAGGTAGGGCCCCAGTGCCATCCGCTTTTCCTCAGGCCTTTGCTCCATCAGCCATCAGGAGGCAGCCACTCAGGCTGTGGGAACTTGGCCATCCCTACTTCCTTGAGTAGCTGAGGTTGGTGGCTGCTCCACATGTTCCAGGTGCACCCTTGCAGAGGTGACTGGTTCTTATTTGAGTCAGCTTGGCCTTGCCTGGCATGCATAGTCTCCAGCTACTGACATGCTGCTGTGAGTGAGTTTGTCCTGCCTTGGCCCAAATTCTAAGTCTGGTCAGGGCCACAGAACGCCAAGTCCCCTGGGTGGTAATCCTGCTGCTTTCTGTACTCGAACATAAAGTCCTCCTCAAGACAGCCTGTGGTCTGCCTCTTGGCAACCAAGAAGCCCGCAGTGCCATACGAGCCCTGAGCCATGGACTGGAGCACCAAAGGCAGTGTACACCCTGCTCCTGAGCCTGCCTCTAATGTCCTCTGTGTGGTTCCATTTGTAGAACAGTTGTTGCACTGAGACTTGTGCATGCTGGGCAAGGCCAAGCTGGCTCAAAGAGCAACCAGCCACCTCTGCAAGGGTGTGCCAGGAGCAGGTGGACCAGCCACGAACATCACTCGCTGCCGGACATGGTACCTCAGTTCTTCTACCCTAAAGGTAGGGCCCCAGTGCCATCTGCTTTTCCTCAGGCCTCTGCTCCATCAGCCATCAGGTGGCAGCCACTCAGGCTGTGGGAACCTGGCCATCCTGGCTTCGTTGAGGGGGTGAGATTGGTGGCTGGTCCAACTGCTCTAGGCACACCCTTGCAGAGGTGTCTGGTTGCTCTTTGAGCCAGCTTGGCTTTGCCTGGCATGCACAGGCCCCAGGTACTGACACGCTGCTCTGAGTGAGCGTGTCATGCCTGGGACCAAATTCTAAGTCTGGCCAGGGTCACAGAAGCCTGAGTCCCCTAGGTTGTAATCCTGGCTGCTTTCTGCACTTGAACATAAAGTCCTCCACAAGATGGCCTGTGATCTGCCTCTTGGCAACCAAGAAGCCCAAAGTGCCATATGAGCCCTGAGGCATGGACTGGAGCCCCAAAGGCAATGTACACCCTGCTACTGAGCCTGCTGGTCATTTTCTGTGTGGCTCCATTTGTAACACAGTTGTTGCACTGAGGCTTGTGCATGCCAGGCAAGGCCAAGCTGGCTCAAAGAGCAACCGGCCATCTCTGCAAGGATCCACCTGGAGCAGGTGGACCAGCCTCCAACCTCATCCACTTAAGGAAGCAGGGAATGTGTGTTTGTACCATGCATTTCACTACAAGTACATTTCTCCTGAGTTTGGTGGCCTAGGTTTTCTTCTAGGTTTTTTATGGTTTTAGGTCTTAAGTTTAACTCTTCAATCCATCTTAAGTTAATTTTTGTATAAAGTGTAAGGAAGTGGCCCAGTTTCAGTTTTCTGCATATGGCTAGCCAGTTTTCCTAACACCATTTATTGAATAAGGAATCCTTTCCCCATTGCTTGTTTTTGTCAGGTTTGTCAAAGATCAGATGGTTTTAGATGTGTGGTGTCATTTCTGAGGCCTCTGTTCTGTTCCATTTGTCCATATATCTGGTTTGGTACCAGTACCATGCTGTTTTGGTTACTGTAGCCTTATAGAATAGTTTGAAGTCAGGTACTGTGATGCCTCCAGCTTGTTATTTTTGCTTAGGATTGTCTTGGCTATGCGAGCTCTTTTTTGGCTCCATATGAAATTTAAAGTAGTGTTTCTAATTGTGGGAAGAAAGTCAATGGTAGCTTGATGGAGATAGCACTGATTCTATAAATTACTTTGGGAGATATGGCATTCAGGCACAGAAATGTCCTTGTGTTAGGCAATACCATTCAGGACATAGGCATGGGCGAAGACTTCATCACTAGAACACCAAAAGAGATGGCAACAAAAGCCAAAATTGACAAATGGGATCTAATTAAACTAAAGAATGTCTGCAGAGCAAAAGAAACTATCATCAGAGTGAACAGGCAACCCTCAGAATGGGAGAAAATTGTTGCAATCTATCCATCTGACAAAGGGCTAATACGCAGAATCTATAAAAACTTAAACAAATTTACAAGAAAAAAACAAACAACCCCATCAAAAAGTGGGCAAAGGATACGAACAGACACTTCCCAAAGGAGACATTTATGCAGCCAACGAACATGTGAAGCAAAGCACTGGTCATTAGAGAAATGGAATTCAAAACCATAATGAGATACAATGTTACGCCACTTGGAATGGCCATCATTAAAAAATCAGGAAACAACAGATGCTGGAGAGGATGTGGAGAAATAGGAATGCTTTTACACTGTTGGTGGGAGTATAAATCAGTTCAACCATCGTGGAAGACAATGTGATGATTCCTCAAGGATCTACAACTAGAAATACCATTTGACCCAGCAATCCCATTACAGTGTATATACTCAAAAAAATATAAATCATTCCAATATAAAGACACATGCACACGTATGCTTATTGCGGCAGTGTTCACAACAGCAAAGACTTGGAACCAACCCAAATACCCACCAATGATAGACTGGATAAAGAAAATGTGGCATATATACACCATGGAATACTATGCAGTCATAAAAAAGGATGAGTTCATATCCTTTGCAGGGACATGGATGAAGCTGGAAACTGTCATTCTCAGCAAACTAACACAAAAACAGAAAACCAAACACCACATGATCTCGCTCATAAGTGGGAGCTGAACAATGAGAACACATGGACACAGGAAGGGAAACATCACACACAAGGGCCTGTCAGGGTGGGGGGCTAGAAAAGGGATGGCATTAGATCATGGGTTGGTGCATGCAGCAAGCCACCATAGCATGTGATACGTATGTAACAAACCTGCATGTTCTGCACATGTACCCCAGAACTTAAAGTATAATTTTAAAAAAATAAATTTGCTTTTAATTAAGCTTTTCATCATAGAACTTGTAAAGAAAATACTTCTGAATCTTTTACTACCACATCATAGCTGGGACAAACTGCTGATATTTTAAAAATAACACAAATATCAAACAGAAAGAACTAGACTTAGGAACCAAACTCAGGTTTCTGTAGTGAACAGGGCAGAATCTTAACTTTGGGTCGCCACCACTACTCCTTCAGTTTGGCCTTGGCTAGCAAAAGATGCAACCACTTATGTAAAAAAAAAAAATAAAAAAGTTAAAAAAAATCATTTCTGCTAACGGATTTTTTTTTTTTTTTTTTTTTTTTTTTTTGCAGCCACATGAGTTTTAGCCAATTCAGAAGCCTTGTTCCCCACAATTTGGAGCATTCTTTGGATCTGACCAAGTCAGGAAGAGATGGGAGAAAAGTGAAACAACATCAACAAAACCCCAAACATAAACAAACAAAAAGAGTTAAGCAAAACAAACAAATGCACAATTCATATGATTACTGAGTGTTCTAATGGTAAGGAGAAATTAAAAGCAGCTGGTGAGTAATCTTAAATTTTAGTCATTAAGGAAAAATTTTAAGACAAAACTCTAATTCAGCTACTTACCTGGAAATAAGTCTCAGGCTGGTGATTGTTCTCTGCCATCTTAGAAGCTGGAAAAAACTTACACTCACCTTCCCTGTCAGAAGCAAGCTGAAACTCAAGAAAGGAGGTGCCTGCTCTCCATCATCATGGAAGCAGGAAAACTTGCCTTGTTGGAAATAAGTAAAACTTCAGAAAAGGAGTTGTATGGCAATCAACCTTAGATGTCAACCAAATTTTGGGAGATCAGGGATTATCTGCGGGGGAGAAGCTCCCTAACCTCAGCACATTATCCTATTGGTTTGGGCAATAAAGATAGCCCAGGTTGGTATCAAGCAATAATGAGATTTATCAAAGGTCAGGACCACCTTTGTAATCTCCTTCTCTGTGTTTTTTTTTTTTTTTTTTTTTTTTTTTTTTTTTTTTTTTTTTTGAGACGGAGTCTCACTGTCTCTCCCGGGCTGCAGTGCAGTGGCACGATCTTGGCTCACTGCAAGCTCCACCTCCCAGGTTCACACCATTCTCCTGCCTCAGCCTCCCAAGTAGCTGGGACTACAGGCACCCGCCACCATGCCCAGCTAATTTTTTGTATTTTTCGTAGAGACAGGGTTTCACCGTGTTAGCCAGGATGGTCTCGATCTCCTGACCTTGTGATCCATCCGTCTCAGCCTCCGAAAGTGCTGGGATTACAGGCGTAAACCACCGCGCCCAGCCCTCTTTTTTTTTTTTTAATCTTTATTGGTATAGTCTGTTTTGTCAGAAACTAGGAGTGCAACACCTGCTTTTTTCTGTTTTCCATTTCCTTGAAATATTTTTCTCCATTCCTTTATTTTGAGCCTATGTATGGCACTGCATGTGAGATGGGTTTCTTGAAGACGGCATACTCCAATGGGTCTTGGTTCTTTATCCAGCTTGCCCCCTGTGTCTTTCAATTGGAGCATTTAGCCCATTTCCATTTAAGGTTAGTAATGGTATGTGTGGATTTGATCCTGTCGTCATGCTGTCAGCTGGCTTTTTTGCAGACTTATGTAGTTGGTTTTTAGCATCACTTGTCTGTGTACTTCAGTGTGTTTTTGTAGTGGCTGGTGGTGGTCTTTTCTTTCCATATTTAGTGTTTCCTTCAGGAGCTCTTGTAAGGTAGGTCTGGTGATAACGAATTCCCTCAGCATTTGCTTGTCTGAAAAGGATCTTGTTTCTCCTTCACTTATGAAGCTTAATTTTGCTGGACATGAAATTCTGGGTTGAAATTTCTTTTCTTTGAGATGTTGAATGTCTTTTCTGGCTTGTACAGTTTCAGTTGAGAGGTCTGCTAAATCTGATGGAATTCCCTTTGCAGGTGATGTTGCCTTTCTCCCTAGCTGCCTTTAACATTTTTTCTTTTATTTTGACCTCAGAAAATCTGACGATTACGTGTCTTGGGGATGATCTTCTCATGGCATATCTTACTGAGGTTCTCTGGATTTCCTGAAGTTGAATGTTGGCCTGTCTGGCTAGGTTGGGGACATTCTCATGAATGATATTCTGAAATGTGTTTTCCAAGTTGGTTCCATTCTCATCTCTTTCAGGTACATTAATCAGTCATAGATTTGATCGTTTATATAATCCCATATATCTCAGATGTTTTGTTCATTCCCTTTCATTCTTTTTTCCCCCATTCTTGTTTTCCTGTTTTATTTCAGAAAGCCAGTTTTCAAGCTCTGGGATTCTTTCCTCTTCTTGGTCTATTCTGTTGGATGGTCTTGCACATGAGATGGAGCTGGTCTGACCTCAGCCCTCCCTAGTCTGCTTGCCTCTCCCAGGACCCCAGCCTGGCCACACCTGCTTACAGGGCACTCTCAGGTGCCCACACATACAATAATATTCATAATGCAATCACACACAATCACCATGTGACTGCATTATGAAAATTCTTCTAGTGTGATTTACAGCTCTGTCAGGTCAGTTATTTTCTTCTTTATACTTGCTCTTTTGTCTGTTACTTCCTGCAATGTTTTACAATGATTTTTAGCTTCCTTGTATTGGATTACAACATACTTCTTTCACTCAATGAACTTTGTTCCTACCCATATCCTGAACTCTGCTTGTATCATTTCAGACATCTCAGCCTCAGCCCAGTTCTGAACACTTGCTGGAGAGTTGATGCAGTCATTTGGAGAAAAGAAGGCATGCTGAATTTTTGAGTTTTCAGTGTTCTTGCACAGAGTCTTTTTCTCATCTTTATGGGCTTATCCATCTTCAATCTTTGAGGTTGCTGACGTTTGGACAGGGTATTTTTCCTTTATTATATCTGATGACCTTGAGGATTTGATTGTGGTGTAAGGTGGATTCAGCCAACAGGTTTTGTTTTTGGAGGATTTTAAGGGGCCAACATGCAGCTCCCAATTCTTGGACTGTGTGCTTTAACTCTGGGGAACTTGTATTGGGCCACAACTTTGTTCTCTGGCTCCTCGAGGTTTGGAGTCCACTGCACTGAGGGGACCAAAGTGCGGCAGCTGTGGCAGAATGCTAGCAGATGCAAAAGTCCCTGCCTCCCTGTGGGCATTCACCCAGTGGTGGAGGCAAAACAGCTGGGGTGTGGGCCAGGGGGCCCCTGCTGTGTGTGCTGTTGCACTGGAGGTAGTGCTGGTTTGGGGTGGGTGGCTGGCCAGTGAAGGTGCCTTCTTTGATCCCCCCCAAGCAACAGTGGTCACTCAGGGTATAAGAAGGTCCCTTTTCCTCTGCACAGCATTACCTCAAGGGTGAGATGCTAGCAGGGGTGGGGTTTTTGGTTCTGTGCCCACCATGGCTTCATCTTCAGTGGCAGTTCGTGTGGGTTGGGGTGTGTGCTGCATTCCCATATGCTGTTAGGGCAAGTACAACAAAACCCACCTGTGTAAACACACACAGCAAAGTGATGTAGGAAGTTTCCATATAAAGGGCTGCAGTATGGAGAGGTAATGTGCAGGCTAGTGCGTGGCTGTAGAGGTCACCTTGCTGCAGCTCTCCATTGATCAGGCACGGTCCGCTTGTACAGAAGCTATGGTGTGGGCACCCGAAAGTGCCCTCTAAGCAGGTGTGGCCTGGCTGGGGTCCTGGGAGAGGCAAGCAGACTAAGGGGTGCTGAGGTCAGACCAGCCCCATCTCATGTGCAAGACTGCCCAGCACAGATCAGGTCTCAGAGGAGAACTCTCTCAAAAGTGAATCCTCAGCACAGCACAACTGCTCTACACAAACGTGGCCAGACTTCTTTTTTAAGCAAGTCCCCTTTTTTACGAAGAGAACTCTTAGACCTGATCTGTGCTGGGCAATCTTGCACGTGAGATGGGGCTGGTCTGACCTCAGCACTCCTAAAGTGCTGGGATAAAGTGTCTCATAAGAGCAAGTGGAGCCTAGAGACATAGCTGTCCCTGCCCTCCGGGCTCCACATCAGCTGACTTGCTGCTCCACCACTTTCCTTGTCTCCTGGGGGCTCCACCCCAGAGAGGTGTAAGTTAGCAGTTACTTAATGTAATCACCCCAGGATGGAGGGTCTGTGTTGTGGGCCCAAGCCAGGGTTCCTTGTCTGGTGATGAGCAGTAAGGGGTGTGTTGTACCTGTGGAAGATGGACTGACTTGTTCCTTGTGTCAACTGCAGCTTGTTGGAGGTGTCAATATGGTACTTAGGGTCTTTGCTCCCTTGATATTCTGAGGGTAGCAAGGGCAGTTCCACTGCAGAGGCAGTGGCAGAGAGGATTTCTGTTGCTCCTGGAAGCTCTGTCCAGGGAGTTGCTGAGTTGCTACTGGCTTGAAAGCTCAAGTGGGGGGCTGGCTGGAGACCCAGGCCAGGAAGACCTGCCCATCGAGGAGATATGGAAATGGGCACCCACATAACAGTCTGGCCACTTTTCTGTGGGGCTGCCGTGGTATGCTGGGGGTCCACTCCAGTCGCCAATTGCCTCGTATTTTCCAGTGGCTGAAGGTATCAGCAGTGAAGCCTGCGAAAAAGCAAAGACGATAACCTGCCCTTCCCTCTGGGAGCTCTGTACCTCTGAGGTATGAACCTGTTGCCAATCTGAACACACCTGTAGGATGTGACTGGAAGCAAGTTGAGAAGTCTTGCCTAGTAAGGAGGAACAGGAATAGGGACTTGTTTAAAAAAGAAGTCTGGCCACGTTTTTCTAGAGTGGCTATGCTGTGCGGGGGGTTCAATTCAGCCCCTGGTCTCCTCAGACACTCTGAAACTCTAAGACTGAACTGGCTGAGTCATCCAAACAGCAAAGATGACAGTCTGGTCCTCCCCCTGGGAGCTCTCACTCAGGAGGCCTGAAACCTCTGTCAGCCAGAGAACAGCAGTGAAGGTGGCTGGAGACCCTGGTTGAAAGGCTCCAGCCAGTGATTAGAAATGTGGTTGGGGACTGGCTTAAACAAGAATCTGGCCACGTTTTCGCAGGGTGGCTGTTCTGTGCTGAGGTACCACTTCCACCCCTGGTCAGCTTGGGCTCTCCAAAGCCCACAGGCCAGAAGGGCTAGTTGCCCAAACAACAAAGGTCATGGCCCACCCCTCTCTCTGGGAACTCTGTCCCAGGAAGGTTTCAAATCTCCATTGGCCAGGGAACACTGGTGGGTGTAGCTGGAGGCCTCAGGTGGGAGATCCTGTCCAGTGACGAGGAACAGGATCAGGGGCCTGCTTACAGAAGCATTCTGGCCATGATTTGGTAAAGCAGCTGTGCTATGCCACAGGATCTCTTCTGCCCCTGGTGGGTTTGTACTCTCCAAAGCCCGCACGCTGGAATGGCTAAGTTGCCCAAACAGGAAAGATGGTGGCCTGCCTCATCTTTTCTCTCAGAATTTATCCTGTGTGATGGAGCTTAATTTTTAGGTTGTTAATTTTACTGTCAGCGTTAGAGTTGTTCAGAAAGAATCTCACTGTTATCTTTTAGGTGAGATATATGAGAATTCATTTTCTCCTGTAAATAAACCTGTTCATGTTTGTTCTCTGGAAAGAAGTCCCTTTCAGCTATCTGACTTTGATCACAATCATGTAGAGCAGTAGTCAGTCTACAATGACATGATTGAATTTCCATTTCCAGTGTTTCCTAGCTGTGTCTTACATTCTCCAGTTCAGAACTGAGCATTCTCAGTTGTCAAAATCCTAAGCTGTCCACTGTACTTAAATATTGGTTTTCGTTAATGCTTCTTCATTCAATTGCATAGCCCTTAGAAGTTTATCAGTCTTTTCTTTCACACTTTCAATTTCCTCCAAAATTTTATTTTCCCTTAGCTGGTTCTGATGTTTTGTTTCATCTAGTTCCAGTCTTAGCACGGCAATTTCTTCCTGCAACACGCTGTTTTCACGCAAGAGATCTTCTTCTTTCTTATGACTAAGAGAAAGCTAAGTAAACAAAGGGAACTTTTAGTTAGCACTCAATAGAATGACATATCATGATTTCTTCTAAAATTAAAGAATGACATTTATATTTGTATAATGAAATAATTCCCATAGTGGATATTTAACTGGAAAAAAGTTGGACAAAACTTCAAATCTAAAAGAGTGTAAATTCCAAAAAGTTGAAATATTTATCTAAAGACCATGAAAAATAAATCACTAGAGGATTTTTAAGAATTTCAGAATTGGAAAAGCCTTTCTCTGAATTACAAAAAACCCAGAGGCATAAAATAGAAGATTAATATATTTGGCTACATTTTTTAAATTGGGTTTACACTCTGATATCTAACCTATAAACCACACCATCATAAGAGCCTTAGCTATGCATATATTAGGACAGAAGCAATTCCTCAAAGTTCTTTAAGTTCCTTTTTCTGAGGAATGTTTTATCAATATACTGCTTTTCTAATATTTTTACAGTCAGTTGTAAGCATTACATTTATTCATAACTGTTAAATCTAAGCATTGTACCCTTCTACAATGTACACATCTGCATCTAAGCATTGCACTTCTACATACAACACTCAACTCATTTAGGATCACGATTCTTAAAAGGAGAGGTCAAAAAATATATGCAGCCAGGACCAGTGGCTCACACCTGTAATCCCAGCACTTCAGGAGGCTGAGGCAGGAGAATCGTGTGAACCTGGGAGGCAGAGGTTGCAGTGAACTGAGTTTGTGCCACTGCACTCCAGCGTGGGTGACAGTGCAAGACTCCATCTAGAATACACACACACACACACACACACACACACACGTATATATGCAATGTGCACGATTTTTGCCAGGTCTTCTGATGCTACTGCTAGTGATCCTCCACAAAATCACAGTTGCTTCTGTGGTGTAAATATATAAATACAAAAGAAACCTTTTATTTCAAAATACAAATGGTAAATAAGATATAACTTACAAGGCTTTTCTTAGAAATCATGAGATTATTTGCCATTGCAATAACTTTTCTTTCCTCTTTATAATGTTTGAAACATTGTAGTAGTAAGTGTGAAATAGGGGAAACATACTGAACTATTCATCTGGGAACAAAATACTTATCAATAAATTATCACTAAATGTGTATCATGGCATGTCATTGTTTTCAAAGCTCTTTGCATTGAAATGAGAAACTACTCGGAGCAAACTGTTCCTCTCCTCAAAAGCAAGGATAATGACATCCACAATGTGGCCTCTGACCCAGCTGTACATTTCCTACTTTCCTATTAGTGAAAATAACAAACTGACTTCTCTATTAATATTTTAAAAAGAACTAATGTCCCAAAACTAGCAAATCTGTTGTTAGTAGCAAAACTTATTTTTGATATTGGAAAGATAATCAATTCTTATGAAAAATATCAAATGCTTTTCCTTTGGATTGAGGCCATTGTGAAGGTCACTACTCGACTGTTGCAGGCAAATGCAGTTGAATTAAGAACATGGTTTTATCCTATATGTACATATATAAATATATGACCAAGGATATACAGGGTGTGTATATATGTGATTTAAAAATCCTTTATACCTTCCAAAATAAAGCTTTTTAAAAATATATACACATATGAAAACATTTGAAAATGACTAAAGAAAATACCTCAGAATTCATTTTCTGTTCAGCCACTTCTATCTGCTTTTGTTTATTAGTCAGAATCTCATCTTGTGATATTCCAGTGTTCTGTTCTTCAGAAAGTTGTTTCCGGGTATCATTTTGTTCGTCACTAGAAGAAATTTTAATTTTCATGAAATACTGGAGGTGTCCCTAAAATGATCTACAGGGCAAGATGGCACCATCAGATGTCATTCACACAATGTATATCTGCACATTAATCCAAGACAAGACAAAGGGGTCTCACATCTGTTAAACCTGCTCTCACAGTCATGTTGGCACCAGGGACTAGTTTTGTGGAAGATAATTTTTCCATGGACCTGAGGTGGGGGATGGTTCCAGGATGATTCAAGCACATTACATACATTGTGCACTTCATTTCTATTATTACTAATATATAATGAAATAATTATATAACTCGCCATCATGTAGAATCAGTGGGAGCCCTCAGCTTGTTTTCCTGCAACTAGATGGTCTCATCTAGGGGTGACAGGAGATGGTGACAGATCAGAAAGCAATAGATTCTCATAAGGAGTGAACAACCTATATCCCATGCATGAGCAGCTTGCAATAGGGTTCAAGTCACACTCCTATGACAATCTAATGTCACCGCTGATCTGACAGGAGGAGGAGCTCAGAAGGTAATGTGAGTGACAGAGAGTGGCTGTAAACAGATGAAGCTTCACTTGCTCCCTACCACTAACCTCTTGCTGTGTGGCCCAGGTCCTAACAGGCCAGGGACTGGTACTGGTCTGTGGCCTGGGGATTGGAAACCCCTGTGTTAACCTAAACTTTTTATGTTTATTTTTTGGAAACAGTTTCCACTTATATTCTTGATTCCTCTGTAATCTATAGACAACTTAGAAATTCCCTTTGGAACAAGACAGGCTCTAATATTGTGTTTTTAACATAGAACTTTGAATTCATTTTATCTGTGTATGAGAGAGAAATGTGAAATAAACTGATCAACAATCGCTTTCAATTTTACTTTTATTTCATGCATATTAAGAAGAAAACTGGGAAGCCCTAGGCAGAGCAATTGGGCAAGAGAAATAAAGGGCATCCAAATTGGAAAAGAGAAAGTCAAACTCTCTCTTCACCAATGATATGATCTTATGCCTAGAAAACCCTACAGACTCCTACAAAACACTCCTAGATTTGATAAATGAATTTAGTAAAGTCTCAGAGGTTACAAAATATACAAATACCAATGAATAGTACCACTATACACCAACTACAACCAAGCTGAGAGTCATATCAAGAATCCAATTCTTTTTACAATGGCTGCAAAACAGTAAAATACCTAGGAATATACTTAATGAAGGAGGTGAGTGATCTATCAAAGGATAACTGGAAAACACCACTGAAGAAAATCACAGATGATACAAATAAATGAACATACATTCTATGTTCCTGGACTGAAAGCATTGATATTGTGAAAATGCCATAGTGCCCAAAGTAGTCTACAGAGTCAATACAGTTTCTACCAAAGTACCAATGTCATTCTTCACAGAGTTATTTTAAAAAGCTGCCATTCATGTAGAACCACAAAAGAGCCTGAATAGCAACAGACATGCCAAGCAAAAGGAACAAACATGTTGGCATCACATTACCTGACTTCAAATTATACTCTAAGGCCACAGTAACAAACATCGTGGTACTGATATAAAAGTAGATACACAGATCAATGGAACAGAATAGACAACTCAGAAAAAAGGCCACTTACAACCAAATGATCTTTGAGAAAGGATACAAAAACATACACTGGAGAAAGCACACGTTATTCAACAAATGGTGCTGGGAAAAAAAGATAGTCACATATAGAAGAATAAAATTGGATCTCTATCTCTCACCATGTAAAAAAATTAATTCAAGATGGATTAATGGCCTAAACCTAAGACCTGAAGACATTAGCCTAGGCAAATAATTTATGATGAGGACCCTGAAAGCAAAAGCAACAAAAATAAAAATAAATAAATAAATAAAGACCTAATTAAAGTAAAAAGCTTCAGCACAGCAAAAGAAATAATCATCAAAGTGAGCCAACAACCTATACAATGGGGAAAATATGGGCAAATTATGAATCTAACAAAGGATTAATGTCCATAACCTACCAGAAACTCAAACAAATCAGCAGGAAAAATACAAATAATTCCATTAAAAAGTGGGCACATGACATGAATAGACATTGCTCAAAAGAAGATGTACAAATGGTGAACAAGAATATAAAAACATGCTAAATATTACTAATCATCAGGGAAATGTACAATAAAACAACAGTGAGATATCACCTCACTTCAGCCAGAATGGTCACTACTAAAATAAAAAAAACAGCAGATGTTGGTGTGGATGTGGTGAAAAAAGAAGAGTTATACACTGCTGGTGGGGATACAAATTAGTACAAATCTATGGAAAACATTATGGAGAATTCTGTTAAAGTAGATCTTACCATTCTATCCAGCATTCTCATTTCTGGATACCTACCCAAAATAAAAGAAATCATACTCTCAAAAAGACACCTATATACATATGTTTACTGCAGCACAATTCACATATGCAAAGATATGTTATCAGCCAGTGTCCATCAACTGATGAGTGGAATAAAGAAAATTTTATATATATATATGTATATATGTATACCTGAGACTGGGTAATTCATAAAGGAAAGAGGCTTAATTGATTCACAGTTACACATGGCTGGGAAGGCCTCAGGAAACTTACAATCATGGCAGAAGGTAAAGGGGAAGCAGGCAACTTCTTCAAAAGGTGGCAGGAGAGAGAGAAGTGAAAGGGAAAGAGCCCATTATAGAATTATCTGCTCTTGTGAGAACTCACTATCACGAGAACAGCATGGAGGAAACCGACCCCATGATCCAATACCTCCCAGCTGGTCTTTCTCTCAACACCTGGGAATTACAATTTGACATGAGATTTGGGTGGAAACACAAAGCCAAACTATTGGGGGGGGGGTGTATCCTTACTTTTAAAATATCAAAATGTCATTATTTATATTTCAAATATAGCAATTTTTATTAGTAATGATTTTGTTTGAAAATAAAATGACCTGGTAAATTTTCTTCACTTTTAGCCTAGTATTTAGTCAAAATATAAAAAGCTGAATTTGCCAGCAGCAAACTGTAATTACTTTTAAATGAGGTAAAGATATATAAGAATATCACCGTTATTGTACTGAGAAGAAAGTGAACAAGAAAAGGAATTTAAAAAGAGAGTAGAGTATCACTACCATATACATACATGAACTGACAAAGAGACTAAAATCTCCTACTGGAGATTATGTTAGGACTTGAGCAAAAGCTTCTAAAAATACCAAAAACAGAAAGAAAATAATTAATTTTAAGGAATAAATTATACAGAGAAATATGTATTTTTTAAAAAAGAAAACAGATATTCCTGAGAGCTGTTATTAACCAATTCATCTTGACCAAAATTTTAAAATGAAGTCTACAATTCTGGAATATAAAATAGTTTCATTTTGAACATAGTTAATTGAAGGCAACTTTTATACAGAAAATTTTCGGTTAAAGTTGACTCTAACTTAGGAAAGAAATGACTTGTACCAATGGTAACAAGAAGCCACACAAAGCCAGTTTGAAATCTAGTCAATCAATGACCACTGCTCTTGCTCACCAACCAATATCAATGTGAGCAGCTTGCTTCTGAAATACAGCCATGCAGCAGCACCTGCTCCATCAGAATAGACAGTGCCTGACCAGTATTCCTCTTACTATAGGAAGCAAAAAATTCCAACTCTGTCTCTTTATTTCAAATACCAAAGGTTCATAATCCCTTGAAAAGAATTTGTAAGTCCATTAAATGTGCCACCCTAATTTTTTTTTTAAATAAAATACTAGTGGCCAGGTGCGGTGGCTCATGCCTGTAATCCCAGCACTTTGAAAGGCCGAAGTGGGTGGATCACCTGAGGTACAGAGTTCGAGACCAGCCTGACCAATGGGGTGAAACCCCATCTTTATTAAAAATACAAATATTAGCTGGGCGTGGTGGCATGCCCCCATAATCCCAGCTCCTTGGGAGGCTGAGGGAGGAGAAATGCATGAACCAGAAGGTGGAGGTTGCAGTGAACTGAGATCATACCACTGAACTCCAGCCTGGGGGATACAGCGAGACTCCATCTCAAAATAAAATAAAATACCAGTAAACTTTGCAATTCCTCTGACTCAGTTTGCCATAATTACAATTATGATTACTAGTAAAAGAATAAATAGTGAATAACCACAATATTGGGCTTTTCTCTCTAAATAAAAAAATTAATATAAAGAATGTAGCTTATTATAAAAAGCCAAAACAATTTTAAAAATGCATGTAATTACTGGGCAAAACTGTTAGAATGAACCACGTCAAACATTTTTAAAGTGAGAATTAATCAAACAATATATCCAGGATAAACTCCCTTCACTCATTTAATAAGTATTTATTAGGTAGCTTCATCCAATATGCTAGGCCTTTTTCTAGGCAGTGAGGATATGGTTGTGAAAAATAAAAACCCTATTCATGAGAGTGAGAAAAACACACAATAACAACAGACAGACAAGGCAAAATATACAGGATGTTACAGGAGAAAAACTAAAGCAGGAAAATGAAATGTTTATGTGTTTGATGGGGAGGGTGGTGGGAAAGTTGGGATGGTCAGAAAAGTCCCTGCTGAGAAAGGGGATTTTTTTTTTCTAATACAAAAACCTTTTATTTGTATATCAAAGTCTCTAAGAAATGATGACATAAGGTTAACAGCGTTGATGTCAAGATACAAATGGGTTTGAAGTTAGAGATGATAAATCACTTTGTTTCACTGAACCTTCCCTTCGTTACGTTAGAGAGCATCCCTGGTAGGCACCCAATTGAACCTTAAGCATGACGCGTCTGGGTAGCACACCGTTCTTCCTCAGAAAGTGGTTGTTCCTTAATGTGTTTCTTTTTACCCTTTTTCCTCTTCTTCTTAGAAAGGGGGTTTTAAATAAAGAACTGAAGGAATGGAAAGAGAAAGCTAGGAGGATATCTGGGGAAAAAGCATTCCAGACACAGGGAACTGCGAATCACAGAGGTGTGCCTGGCATCTTTAAGCACTAGGGGTAGATAAGGGATGGCAAGAATTCAGTGTGGCTGAAGCAGAGCAAGGGAGATAATTAGGAGGAACTTTGACATGTACTCCGAGTGAAATGGGAGATAATCAGAAGGGCTGGGGCAGAGGAATGACACAATTTGACTTATCTTTTAAATACATCCACTGAGTTAAGAATTGATGAAAAGGGAAGTTTTTAAAAACCAGGACTATCAATTCCCAGTCTATGGCACTCATTTAGACTACAGATGAGGGTGGCTCAGATGTATGAGATATGACTGGCTTCTGGACATATTCTTCAGGTAGACCTGACAAGATTTACTGAGAGATTAGATGTGAGGTGTCAGAGAGAGAGAGAGAGAGATGAGTCAAGAATGACACCGAGATTTTTGGCAGAGCAACTGGAAGAGTTGCCCTTAACCAAAGTAGGAAAGACTGCATGAGGTGTAGATTTCAGGAAGGACATCAGTAGCCCAATTTTGGATCTGACAAGTGTGTGATACCCAATAACTAACCAAATAGAGATGTCACAAGTAGGCAGGCTGATATAGAAATCTGGAATTAAGGAGAGAGATCTGAGCTGGAGACATACATTTGGAAATCACTAGCATATACACAGTAGAAAAAGTCATGAGGGGCCAGGTGCAGTGGCTCACACCTGTAATCCCAACACTTTGTGAGGCCAAGGCAGACAGATCACCTGAGGTCAGGAGTTTGAGACCAGGCTGGCCAACATGGGGAAATGCTGTGTCTACTAAAAATACAAAAATCAGCTGAGCATGGTGGCATGCACCTGTAATGCCAGCTACTCAGGAGGCTGAAGCAGGAGAATCGCTTGAACCCAGGAGGCAGAGGCTGTAGTGAGCCGAGATCACACCACTGAACTCCAGCCTGGGTGACAGAGCAAAACTCTGTCTCCAAAAAAGAAAAAGAAAAAGTCACAAGAAAGAAGATTGAGGAGTGAGCCCTGGGAAACAACAATGTCCAAAAGGAGAAAGATGAGGAGGAGCAAGCAAAACAGAACATGATGAATGGACTAGAAAGGTAGGAGGAAAAGCCTGAGGCAGTGAGGTCCTGAAAGCCAAGTGAAGATGCCGTTAGGGAGGAGATGTCCTCCATTGCCTCAAATATTGCTGACAGATTAAATAAAATGAGGTGGAAGAAAAGTGCCTAGATTACAGAAAAAAATTAGTGATAATTTTGAGGAAAAACGTTGGAGGACTGCTGAAATTGAAGACTTACTGGCATGAGATCAAGAGTGAATGAAAAGAAAATTTGAGTTCGTGAGTGTAGACAGTTCTTTTAAGGACATCATACTTAGGAGTCATGGCTGAGAATGTTGTAATTTTCTTCCACAGTCATGGAAAAGTAGTAGACAAATAGTTTCAAATTTTACATAACAGGTGTAGTTTTCAAATTTTATATAACAATTACATATTTTAAAGCTTATAAAAATTATACACATTTGGCATTAAAAATGCCAGACCAAGGTGTTAAATTCTTAAAACTATAGAACTAAAAGTTGCCTTGACCATTTCTAGATTACAGAAGCTGATTATTATTTTGTTCATGCTTATACATAAAGACCAAGAAAAACTAAAAGCTTCAAGGAGAGTATTTCTTGCTTGATAAAAATCAGCCAATTCTAGGACAGTTGATACTCATCAAATATACAAAGTAATTGATCACAGTGAAATACTGAGTTCTACTGACAGGAATAAAGTGGCAGAAATGCAGAAAATAATCTTATTTTACAAATGAAATTTTAAAAATTATATGACATCACTGTGGAAAAATATGGTGAGGTGAATACTGAAATATATCCTTTTCTCAAAGGAAAGATAATGTCACACATGCAGGGCACTTTTACAAATAAGTGTTACTGCATTAGCAGCACCTTCCTTTTAGCACACGGGTCAGCAAATTAGCACCTGTGGGCCAAATCCAGCCCACTGCCTGTTTTTGTAAGTAAAGAATCTTGGAACACAGCCATGCTTATTCACATTACAGTCCATAGAGTCAATTAGCTGGGTGTGATGTTGCACACTTGGGGTCCCAGCCAGTAGAAAGGCTGAGGTGGGAGGATTACTAGAGCCCAGAAAGTCAAGGCTGCAGTGAGCTGTGATCACACAATTGCACTCCAGCCTGGGCAACAGAGACCCTGTCTCAAAAAAAATAAATATATATAGTCCACAAAGCCTGAAATATTTACTAAATGGCTCTTTGCAGAAAAAGCTGGCCAGCTCCTGGTTTAGCAGATGAAAGATACTTTGATATATTTTAATAAAAGTTTTACCCAATATACTCAAATGTTTATATTAAATATAGATCCCCATGTACAATCCCTTGGCAATATTCAGATTGAAGGTCCAATATTTCGGCACTCAGGCACTGACAACAAAAATTTAATAACTAGCAATCTTGTTGCTAACAAGGTACGGTGTCAATGTAGCGTGTAGCTTCCATTTGCAACACAGCAGATATTACAAGAATTCTAACAAAATTATCTTAAGATGTGTTACCAAACTAAATGCTTTAAATATTTTAATTGTGAATAATCAGTATACTCTAGATCTAACCTCATTTGTAAAAAATGGTTGCATACTGTATTATTTTCGGGGTATTTCCTATTGGTAAGGATTTACTTTTGATGATA
Organism: Homo sapiens; assembly: GCF_000001405.40. Classification (NCBI taxonomy): domain Eukaryota; kingdom Metazoa; phylum Chordata; class Mammalia; order Primates; family Hominidae; genus Homo; species Homo sapiens. The sequence continues at coordinate 117,647 of NT_167208.1, forward strand.
AATTCCTATTGATAAGGATCTATCTTTTTGATATAATAATGCTGTAAGAAATGTCCTTACACATAAGTATATATGTGACAAATCTATACAAATATCCTTAACATACCTATATATCCTTACTATGTTATATATATGTGTGTGTGAATATGCTACTAAATTAATGTTCAAAATGTATTTACCAACAGTGTATGAAATGTCTTTTTCAATGAGACCATTTCCTTTGCAGCAACACACATGGAGCTGGAGGCCATTATCCTAAGCAAACTAATGCAGGAACAGAAAATCAAATGCCACATATTCTTACTCATTAGTGGGAACTAAACAATGAGAACTCATGGACACAAAGAGGAGAATAACAGACACCAGGGTCTACTTGAGGGTGGAGTGTGGCAGGAGGGAGACAACCAAAAAACTACCTCTCGAGTATTTTGCTTATTATGTGGCTGATGAAATAATCTGTAGTCCAAACCTCCATGATACAGTTTACCTATATAATAAACCTGCACATGAACTTCTGAAGCTAAAATAAAAGTTCATTAAAAAGAAAAGAAAATGCCTTTTCCCTCACATTTGCCAATGCTGGTTATTTTTCAAATAAATTAATGACTGGAAAAAACGGTAACTCATTGTTTACTGATTTTCAGTTTTCTGATTAACAGGCAAGGCTGAATTTTCTAGTAAAAGTATAAAATTTGTTCATCATGAATATTAGCCCAAATTAAGATTAGTTTGACAGCATATAGTTATCTCCTATTAAATGTTGCCATAGGCTTACCTGTGATACTCTTCATTCTCAGTGTCAGGAAATTGCTGATTTTCAGGTTTTCTGCTCCTCCTTTGTGGAATTAATCCATCATCACCATTGCCAGCACTGGCACCATTAGTCAGGTTTTCTGGTAATCCCACAGGATTACTTCCATGCTTCTTTATTTCTTCTTCAACCTTGAGTGGAAGTTTGATATTAAGGATGGTTATCACTTTATTGAATAAAAATAACCTTTTTAATTGATTTTATCAATTGATTCAGTTTGCCATTATTTTAGTCATTAAAAATCTCACACTTAAATTTGATCATATATACAGAACTATTACCGTATAATTTTAAGATGTAATTATCATGTCATTAGTATATCATTGAAATTTTTGTAAAGTTTGCTTGATTGCTGTTTGACTGAATAAAACTGAATTTTCCAAAATTCAAAAAGGGCCCTCCTTCATTTTGTGCCTTTATTCCCAAAAACTCTTCAGAATCTTATATATGAATTTACCCCATTTGACTCGTGGGAACACAAAAATAAAACGACATAGACACAAAATGTGTCTTCTGTCTTTACCACCTAGATTTTACATTAAACACTCAGATGTAGAGGATGAGACACTGGGGGACTTCAGGAATAGAAAGGAAGATGGCCCTTTTCTGCACTAAGATATTCTCCTCCCCCACTGCCTTTGATCGTTCTTTTTTCGTTTGGTTCCTGGATATCAAAAACATGATGGTGCTCACTGAAACATGAAAACCAAAGTTTGCCACAACACAAGGAGCAGAGTGAAACTGCTGAAGTGCAAGCGTGGAATTCCAGAAAATTAGATGCTCCCAAAATTTCACATTCAATAGCTATACAATTTTCCAGCTGGAAGTTACAAAGAATAAGTAATTATCTTCTTTAGCCACATTATCTAGTGATAATCAGACTAAAACCAAGAAAGATAAAATGATTGGTCCAAAGCTCCTAAAGTGGCATTACCTAGCATTTTATGGCACCATTCAGGATTGTTCCATAATAATGAAAGAATCTCTCTAGGGTTTGTATCTCTTGAAAACTCAATGTACAGAATTCTTTCTGAGTTAAATATTAAATTTTTCACTGGTGATTTATGCTACTTACATGATAGGATCATGTATGCCTACACTTACTACACTTTGTTAAACAGCATAACATAAAAATCTAATTCAACAGAAACATTTGAACATAAAGGTATACCTCTCTATCACAGTCCTTATTTATTTCTGGTTCTTGAGACATTTTCTGCAGATGCAAAAATAGAAGGTTAATTTGCTTGTTGTATTTCCGTGTATGTCTCCTCTTTTGGAATGCATGTTAAAATAATTTTATTCTTAAGTAATCAAGTATGGACATGAAAAATTAGAAAATAAAATAAAATTTAACTGTTAAAATAATTAAATAAATAATTAAAATTAAGAATTAATTTTTTAATCTATGTTTAGCAACTGCCACATCATTGGCTTCTGACTAACATGTGAAAAATAATTCACCTCAGACAAAGGGAGAATAAAAACATGAACCAGCAAACTTAACTTTGTTACCATTTGTTTGGACTAAACTTAATTTGTTATGTGTTAAATCTACCAAAAATGAATTAGCAGATGATTTGTAGTGTTCCAAAGGCTTCCTCACTTGAAAAAGTATATCTCATGAAACCCTAACTAGTGAGCCCCTATAGTGCACTGAAGTGCTTTTTTAAAAGATTCCTAATTGGATTGTAGGCACGCTTTAAATTATTAGGAGCTGAAATCAACACCAAACAGAAAGAAATGCAAATTCTTACATTTTAATTGAAATTATATGCTGTAATATGATAGTGTTATGTATCTAGATGATCTGCTTAAGTCCAGTTCTAATATATTCTAAGGTGTACTAATTATAGTGGATAAAATTTTTTTAATAATCTGTACTGATTTTCTGCAACTAAAATAAGGAAAAGGTTATTGTGTTTGTGCACTAACACCAAATGTCCCATTCTGCAAGATATGATTCTTGTAATAGGCAGTTGGGTTGCTTTTATGACCTGGTTCCCTCCCTGAACAGAAATGCTGAAGTCAGTGAGAGATCACAAGGCAGAATATGTCTTTAACCTTGGTATCAGTGACTGACAATATAAAACTGCAGATTTTCAATCACTGGCCGTGATTATTCTTTAACCATGAATCCAGCTCAGGGACCTTCAGTGTTACATTGTTCATAGTTCTTTTGCTTAATAATATAATCCAATAATTGATGTTACTTTATCATGTTAGGGTGTTGTTAAAATAAAAGAACAAACAAAGGTCTGGAATATGTTTTTGCCTCTATTCCAAAAGGAAAGATTAGCTATAAGCTAATCAAAAAGGCAGATAAGAATATTTTAAATAAGAATACTGTAAAATAAGGGTATTTTAAATTTTATAGTGGTTATGTTTTTAAGCTAAATATCAAATGTTAAATTAGAATTTATTGATTCTTCTGTTAATGAGATTGCTGAATTTATTAAAATAAATTTTAAGAATCTTATTAAAAAATTCTTAAAAAAAGAATCTATTGATTCTTAAAACCTAGTCTGAAAGGTAATTTCATTTGGACTATCTAATATTGTTAAAGCAAAGAAAACAACATTAAATCAAAAATTTAAATTTAAAATTTTCCATGCCTCTGGCTGGCTATTTTCACTGACTTTAAGCCTTTGTGACTCTTCCTCTGATGTCAGCTTTAAGTCTTGTTCTGTTGAGAAATCCATATATTCAGTTAAGATGAACCACTTAGAACAGTTAAAAACTATTGCCTTTATAAAAATAGATTGAAGACAACATTTTATTTTATTTCATTAATTGAGTGTTTAGTCTTTCATGAAATAGTTACTTAGGAAATAATTCTCCAAAACTTCAACAAACCACTTGGGGAGACACCTGATGTGTTTCACTCACAAATTCATCCACCCCACATAAATGAACAAAACCACCAGAAACACAACTTTAAAATACAGTAGAAACATATAAGGTAACTCAGTATGTTGTTCACTTCCTAATGGTGAAGCAGGAAATGTAAAGAAAAGAAAATTTAGTTTTAAAGAGAAACAAGTTTTCCTGCACTTAGCTACTCTGACTCTAAGGATAGTATCAGGCAGGGCCCAGGAAAGGTCGTGGTGACCCTGTCTGAGAAGCCAGAGCCCACAGGTATGGGCTCCAGACATCCCAGAGAAAAGTTAAGAAAACAAATTCCTTTACCATCTCCCCTCCCCCTCAGCATTTATTCATAGCTATTTTTACAAATGCATATATTTTGCAAATTCTTGTTTTCCTTCAATGCAGCTGCAAGGTCACAAGCTATGCAGTGGTTGCAAAACTGTCACTATATGATTAACTGCCTTTGTTCTGCTTCTGTAAGTTTGCCTATATAAGCCAAGCCCTGTCTTTGTTCAGGGCTCAGGTTTTTGATGCAAATCCGCTGAGCTGGTGTGCACCTAAATAAAATCCTCTTGTTTGACCCACTGGGTCTCTCCTGCCTCCTGTTTTCTGCAACAATAGTACCTTACAAATGATTTCCAAAATTACTACTGACACCTTTGTTAGTGTATAATGTCTTCTTAACATCTAAAATGTTTCCATCCACTATTATGACAAATTTATATTCATTTTTCTTTTTTTTTTTTTGTTTTTTTGTTTGAGCCAGGGTCTTGCTCTGTCACCAGGCTGGAGTGCGGTGGCACAATCTCAGCTCACTGCAACCTCTGACTCCCTGGTTCAAATGATTCTTCTGTCTCATTCTCCTGAGAAGCTGGGATTACAGGCACACACCATCATGCCCAGCTAATTTTTGTATTTTTAGTAGAGATGGGGTTTCACCATTGGCCAGGATGGTCCTGATCTTTTGACCTTGTGATCCACCTGCTCCAGCCTCCCAAAATGCTGCAATTACAGGTGTGAGCCACCACACCCAGCCTTATTTTCATCTTTTAAAACAATGCTATGGGAAGTCTTCCTTGATTCTGCAGATCTTTCCCCAGATAAACAGGTAACTCCTTTCTTGAGGTAGCCTTAGGACCTCACTGATTTTTCTACTGCACCTTTACCACCTGAACTGTACATTATTCCTCCACAGGTCTGTCCCCTCTACTCCAAGACTGCAGAGGACAGTCTTGCACATCATCTTTGTAAAAACAGTCTTTATTTTACTCAGAAATTTCTTATTGAGTCCTGCTACACACATGCTAGGTGTTAGGGTTTAAAAAGAATGAAAATAAAGCCTGTCAGGGATGGCTTTTCTAGAACACCTGCCCAAGCAGAGACTTAAATATTGAGGCTAGCTAGATTAAAAGTGGTAGAGGGCAAGAAAGGGTGACAGCATGCCACACAGCAGCAAGAGCAGGAGCGAGGCCTGAAAGAGTGAAAGTATTTGCCTGCAATAGAAGGAGGAGTGAGTAGGGCATTAAGAGCCACTCAGTAATGCCAGAGAAAGGGCACACAGGGAAAAGGGCTAAAGATGTAGAGTAGGGCAGAAGTCAGATTATGAAAGCCTTATGTGTACTTTTAAGACGCTTAGAGATTAACGTTCAAGAGTGGTCCCTGGTCCTATCTGTATTTAGATGTAGATCATTTTAATGTCAAAACCAATATTCCTAGTGAGCCATTATTCATTAAGACAAGGTGACAGCTAGCTCATGTGGACACAGCTGAGATGATACTATGTAGCAAATTCTCAATAATTCTCATGAACACTTGGAAAGTCAATTCTATAATAAGTCATAGAAATTATAATAAATCACTTAATATTTGTTTGGGAAGGTGCTTTATAAAGTTATAGTGTATATGAATATAACTAATAGTTGTGAATTCAGAGCTGTGACAATAAAGCAAAAAAACACACTGTGTTTGAGTCAGCAATATTTAGATTTCTATCTAGTCTTCCTACCGAGTCCATAAATTCTAAGTATAATCCTAGTACTCGCTCTCAAGTTTAAGTTAAATGCTAGCCTATACAAAAAACACTCTTTCTCTTACTCTTTTTTGTTATTTTTATGTTACTTTGTTTAAAGGAAGAACACAAAAATGCCCTGCTAAAGGGATTCTGTTTGGCTGCAGGCTGCAAGAGGGGAAAAACACAAAGCACATTTTGCAGAAAATGATTTTTTAGAAGTCAGAACTATGACATGAAGTCAAGCAGGGCACTCTAGGACTGACTTTGCTGTGGTTCCTTAATATGCTCCTTGCTCTCTTTCTTTTCTGGAAGCTGTGACTCACACAGGTCATGGAGAAAATTTCCTACTCCTTCCTCATGTCCAGGTTAAATACTAGTGTACAACGTGGAAACCTGTAAATTATCTGACATTTCTCTCTGTCCCCCAAACCTTTCTCATTCAATTATCACTAAATCATATTGACTATACCTCTCTTCTTCCTCTGCTTTATATTACCACTGCCACTGAGAACATAAACATTTACAAAACGGCTTTTATTACAAACAACCCTTCCAACTATTAATGTTATTTCTTACATGAAAAAAATTAAGCAAAACAAATGAAAAAAGCATAACACCAAAAAAAGGCCAACACATTAAAATGAGTAACTGAGATTCCAAACTTTATTTTGCCATGGGCAGGTGAAAACCTTAGAATACATTGATACTAGTCCAAGGATGTGTGACATGGAAACTATAGCTGACTACTGCAAAAGCTTCCTTTTTCTCCTGGTTTCTTTACATGGTTATCTTCCATCAATCCCAGCAAACTATAGGCCACAGGCCAAATCCAATCTGCCTTTTGGCTTTGTAAATAAAGTTTTATAGGAGCTCAGTCATGCCTGTTTGCTTACATATAATCATGGTGGCTTTCACACTACAACAACAGACAACAGCCTGGTTAAGTAGATATGACAGAGACCACATAATCTAAAATATTTCCCACCTGGTCCTTTACAGAAAAAGCTTGCTAACCCATTTTACACCATAAGCAGAATATGCCTTAATACTCAAATTTAATCTTGTAACTCCCCTGCTCAAATTTCTCCAATGAGCCCCTGCAGCACACATTGTTGGCTCCCTATCAATAGCCATTCCTTATTCTTTCTTGCAGAAGAAACACAAGTCTATTGGGATATTTATTATCCCAATCCCCCTCCTCAGCCTCAGAAAGAGAGATGTTTATTCTAAGCTAATCATGTATTTGCCTTCCCAGTGCCTGGTTTGGGAATGAGCATGTGGTGTGACCCAGCCAGTGAAATGTTACAGGAAGCCCCTTGCATGCTTCTAAGTTTTCTCCCTGTTTAAAAGACACATGTGAAGAAAAGCAGCCCTTGAAATGTTGTGTTGTGAGAACAAGATGTTTGGAGCTGCTGCGGATTAGCCAACCATGAAAGGAGACATGAATAAAACACTGCCAACAGCACAGCTGAAAGAGGGACAAGTGGGATCCTAGGATATCACTGAACAACCAAAACAACTCTGGTTCCTACTGTTTTAGCCACTGCTCATCTAGTATTTACAGTCCAAAGCATTGTACCTGGTAAATTTCCCATGGCCCACAGGGTAAGACCTACTCATTTCTATAGTATTAAAAAAGTCTATCATAAACTTGCCTTAGCTAAGTATTCACCTTATTCCCAACCTCTGGTGTCTCACACTTTTGGTACTAGCAAAAGTGAACTGCTCAGAAACCCTGCAAAGTTCACTCAGCATCTTGTGTTTTGCACTTGCTGCTCTTCCTGCCAAACAGGCAATCTCATTAGATGTTCTTCTGGCAAACACACAATCTTGTTGCGTGTTCCTTCTGCCAAACATTATTCTTCTGCTTCTTTACCTAGAAAAATTCTTCTCACTCTGCGTGCTTACCTTGAATCATACCTACTTTTTTTCAAAACTTTCATTCCTCATCACATATGTCTGGCACATAATTAATATATAATAAATCATAATTATAAGCTTCCAGTGGGCATCTAGCACACAGTAAGCACTGAATAAAGTAGTAAAATAATAAAAATGACAATGATAATAACAAGCTCCTGTCTGTATTTTTAATTGTGTGTGTTCTGTAACATTAGAAAAATGATTAGTATCTAAAAGACATTTAATAGTTATTTGTTAAGTGGACAAGTGAAAACATAGAAAGGTTTTCTTTGTAAATTCTGTTGAAAAAGCACAGAAATGAAAGAGACAGCTCTACTATGAGCACCTTAAAGATCAAAACTACATCTATTCCATCTTTGTCTCCTGCAACTTATAAAACCTAACTTACAGAAGCTTTTTGATAAATAGATGGCTAAATTAAAGGTGTCCTAATACAGTTTGGGTTATACAATGTATTAGGTGTCCACAACCAGGTGGCATACTAGTATTTTTGTTAATGTGAAACATTTTTCTACTTTTATTATAATCTGCTGAGCCTAGAATTGGGCAATTTGTATATTTATTATGACAATCTTTTGGTAAATGGTAGCAGAGCATCTTGTTCTAACAAAATTACTGTTATCAAGACAATTGACCAGCAGGTAGAAGAACACATCTTGTTCCAACAAAGTAAATGTATCTCTTTCCAACTTCAAATGAGGAGGAATGAAGTCAGTAAGAGTGAGACCTTGTTGGGACAAGGATATGTAACATGACTTGTGCTTTGGCGTTCTTTTGTGATCAAAAATTCCTTACTTTTATTTATTTATCTACGGTAGGACCACCTAGAGCAGGGGCCCACAACTCCCAGGTCACAGACTGGTACCACTCCATGGACTATTATGAACCACACCACACAGGAGGAGGTGAGCAGCAGGCAAACCAGGGAAGCTTCACCTGTACTTACAGCCACACCCCATGGCTCATATTACCGCCTGAACTCTGCCTCCAGTCAGATCAGTGATAGCACTAGATACTCATTGGAGCATGAACCCTGTTGTGAACTGCTCATCTGAGGGATCTAGGTTGTGTGCTTCATATGAGAATCTAATGCCTGATGATATGTCACTGTCTCACTTTGCCCCCAGATGAGACCATCTAGTTGCAGAAAAATAAGCTCAGAGTTTCCACGGATTCTACATTATGGTAAGTTGTATAATTATTTCATTATATATTACAATGTAATAATAATATAAAGTAGCACAATAAATGAAACATGGCTGAATAATCCTGAAACCATCCCCACCTTCCCCCAGCCCATGGAAAGACTGTCTTCCAGAAAACTGGTCCCTGCTGCCCAAAACATTGTGGACAACTGACCTAAAGTAATTCATTATCACAAGTCTTACCTGGATTGCTGTTTTCAGAAGAGATTTTTAGCATCTGTTTTTCTTTATAGTCAGAAAGTAATTCACAAATTCTATGTATAAAAATGTAATAAACCAAATTACTATTTTAATACTGATATAAAAAATACTTACCAAATGTAAAATTCTTAGAGTATTTCAAACAATTTCATAATATCAGAATTTAACAGTATTATCCCATACACTTATGAGTACATTCTACAAACTTTTCTTTAAGCTTCTAATTAAAGAAGAAAAAAAATTAGGTGAAATGCTCATAAATCAAGGGCACTGTGACCCAGTAAATCAGCATGCATTAGCATGACATAATAGAAAGTGTCCCAACTCTGCATAAGTCCTAGCTCCATAATGAACAGCTATTAGTTCTTGGACAAATTTCTTCTCTTAGGCTCAATGTCTTCTTCTACAAAGTGAGGACTTTGCTGCCTTATTTCACTAGGTTGTTACAAATATTTAACAAGGTAACATTTTTTAAATGCTCAGAGAAATAGTAAAGCAATGGAATAATCTGTTCCTAAACTTTATGACTAAAATTATCTTGGAATCCCAAATAAAACCCCATGTGTATTTTGTTCACAGGTTCTAATATGCAAATGCTGTAGTTTTCAGAAAATGTTATTAAGTCCTAATTTTGCTTCTTAGTTGTCCTACTCCTTATGGCTTATAATTCAGGGCATCTCAACTGTGTCATAGTTTGTAACTAAATTTTTTCATAAATCTCTCATTAAAGTAGATAATGTGATTGTCCACTATTACGGAGTTGACCAATTTGTTGTGCTAAGGGCAGAAAAACCAATGGATGTTAAGACCTGGCTTGGAGCAATGATCCTTCTCTACAGACTCAAACTCTGAGCCAGCAGATGTTTGTTAGGATAATGCTTTATATTGATGTTCAATTCCAGCTGACATGGGAGACCAAAACTCTACTTTTATTTTTTTTCAGTTTTCATGAAGAAGCTGCAAATTGACATTCTCTAATTTTTGACATACATACTTAATATATTTTGCACCGAACACATTATTCAGCTCTAAATCATCTCACAGACCATCTTCCATGACTATTTTTGCAGCACAAATCACATTTCGATATTTTGGTGGCACCCATTTTGCTTTGATTCACACTGTTTCCTTAGAGCTAGTCAGCAAATAGTGAAATGATCTTCCAGTGACTGCACAAAATATGGAATGCCTCAAAGAGTTGTGCTGCCTCCTTATGCAGAAGCCATGCTAACTTTCTCTGTATTGTTCCAATTTTAGGATATGTGCCGCCAAAGCAGGCACAAAGCCCTACTTTTACACATGATTTGTGACGAGTCATGGACAAGGCTTGGCTCTTGTCCGTGACTCATCACTACTTACTTAACCTACTTGAGATTCTGAGAATTCTCTTCAATGGCTTCCTGTGAGGTACAATTTGATAATATTTTAAAATCTTGAGCTAGAGATGGAAGTAGCTTGGACGATTTTCATTATCATGTAAATCAGATCACTCAAGGGGCCAACCACAGCTGGGAGCCACTGCTTGGGGAAGGCTCATATGGGACTTTCTACTGCCTAAGGTTCTACACAGGATATAAAGGTGCCTCACAGTATAGATCTGGTAGCAAAGAAGAAGAAACAAACACTGATCTCTTTCTGCCACATTATTTGAACCCCTCTGACCCTTTAGAACAAGCCCACCTAATATCTGCTAGAGAAAAGACCAACAACGGCCTCAAAGGATCTCTTACCATGAAGGTCTCAGCTAATTCTTGGCTAAGATGTGGGTTCCACATTAGGTTCTGAATACAGGAGGAAGGGTCAATTTGCTCACTTTGTGTGCGGATAAAGTCAGGATGCCCAGCGGCCAGAGCAGGGTGCTGGTGCTTTGGGAACAATGGCTGAGCATATAAGCATAGGTAAGGGAACTAAAAAAAAATGTTGTAACTTCAAAGTCACTGTATGAATCCCCATGAAGACTTGAGGGATCTGAATCAGTAAGGGCATCTTGGTGTCAAAGGTCAACAATTACCAGGCAGCAGAACCAGTTTGAGTGGCAACAATGCAGCAACAGAAACAATGGAAACAACAGAATGATTGGAATGTCCTTTTTTTTCTCCTCCTTCTGACTTGATAAAAGGGACTGTCTTCCTTGGATTTAGTGAACCCCTTTGGTTCTTGAAAAATTCAAGGAGTATGTAGAAGATAGTCCCCAGAAGACAGTACAAGACTTTCTGCTAAACTGGACATTTCAAGACCCAAATAACTAATCAGAAAAATCAAAGATGTGATACTCTTTTTTATCCCATGCATAGGTGTTATACTTGGATGAAATGAACAATATTGGGATCTCTAAGGATAAAGGTCTTAAAAGTCCTGAGGTAAAGAATCCTGCACCCATTGGTACTTCTAACTTGTCTTGCTTTTTGTCTGATTTCTGGCTGATGCAGGGGACTAACTCACGGCCAATCTAAAACTACCTGAACCAAACTATGACATCTCACCTGATATGTAAGATGCAATTGTTATAATTATTTTAAACCTCAATTTAGCATTAACTAGCCTTTTCATGTAAACACTTACACATGATGATGACTAGAAACAGCATACTCTCTGGCCGTCTGTCCAGATAGATCTTGAGAAGATACATCAACATTTTGCTCAAGTAGAAGATTGACTATACTTGCTGATCCACAACATACAGCAAGTATGAGGGCAGTTCTAGAATTACAGAGATAATTTCTCCTTTAGGAACTGTAATAAAGTTATTTTAAAAGCTAATTTGATATACTTTACCAATTTAACATCTTGCCTGTCCATGCAGAATCAAACATTTACATGCACTAAAAGACAGAAGCATCTTGGGTGCTCAAGAGTTCATCTTTGTAAAATACCACCAAGGTTAAAAGGAAAGGACAAAAAGGAAACCTCTTATCTCAGTGGGGTATTGCATAGCAGAAGCTACTAATTTAAAGTCCTTTGATGGGCAAGAAACAATGCTAGGGCCACTTATCTGAAGTGGACAAAGATTTAAGTGAAGATTTTGTCACAGCTTCCCTAAACTGATATGCTGTAATAGAAAATTAGCTAGGGGGTAAGAAAAATAAGAGCTCTCTGCATGCTGAAAGCAGTAATATTAATAATAATGGTAAGAATAGTAGTCACAGGAGTTTCAGTTAATGCTGCCAATAAGCATGTGCTACGCACTGAATTAAATGCCACATATATCTTTCTTGCTTATGCACAGCCAACTTTGAAGGATATATTCTCCTACTTTTCACATATGACAACATATTGGGTGGTAAATAACGTTCCCAATGTCACACGCGTAGCAAGTAAGAAAGTTAGGAATTAAACCCAGTCTTGTGTGAATCCAAAGCCTAGCTCTTTTCTCTTTTTTTTTTCCATGCCCAGCTAGTTTTTGTTTTGTTTTTGTTTTTTTATTTTTATTTTTTATTATACTTTAAGTTTCAGGGTACATGTGCACATTGTGCAGGTTAGTTACATATGTATACATGTGCCATGCTGGTGCGCTGCACCCACTAACTCGTCATCTAGCATTAGGTATATCTCCCAAAGCTATCCCTCCCCCCTCCCCCCACCCCACCACAGTCCCCAGAGTGTGATATTCCCCTTCTTGTGTCCATGTGATTGCATTGTTCAATTCCCACCTATGAGTGAGAATATGCGGTGTTTGGTTTTTTGTTCTTGCGATAGTTTACTGAGAATGATGATTTCCAATTTCATCTTTTCTCTTTATCACCCACCTACAGCTTGCCTTCATTAAAGGAAAAGTGTATCCACTTAAAACTATCTTCACTCCCTCTCTCCATACCAACTAAAAATAAAAACATCAAAATACACTGGAAATAAAAAAGGAAAAAAGCTGTTGAACCCACGGTATGTGGGAATAGCAATTAATTGTCATGTGGGGATAAGCTAACATTAATATTCTTCAAAGAAAGCAACTTAAAGCAGAGTCATTGAAAAGATAAAAGGATTTTCAACTCCTATTTATGTTTAATACAGCATATTTAGTGGAAAAGCATATAAGATACAGAGGTTAAAACCTACTAGAAAGGGTTAAGAAGTTCAATACTGAGTCATAAAGTAAACTGAAAGTTAAAGTTCAAACTTCATAAAATTAATATGAAATCCCTTTAGCTAACATAAGATCATGTAACCAAAAACATCATACAACAAATAACATCAGTCAATATAATAAGAGAAGATGAATCCTACTAAAACAGTTCTTTATGTTGCCCAGTCCAAATAATTGCTTTTCTACTTAACTGATTTGTGTTGATACTGATCACTATGTCCCAATAAGTATAATTTAATCTTTTTAATTTATTATTTATGACTTGAGTGACTGCTATCAATCTAGAACAACACACAAATTAAAAGAAATAACCATACCTTCCATATCTATCAAGTACATTTAAATTAGCTTTTTTCTTGATTAAAAATTTCACCACTTGCTGTTTTTGTTCATGTACGCCAAGCAAAAGTGGTGTGAGGCCACACTGTAAAACAATATAAAACAAAAACAATATGTAATTCAAAAAATTATGTATTTCTCAACTGAACTGGAAGCTTATGGACTTACACTCACAGAAAGTAAATAAAACTTGGTCGCTTCCTTCTCACTCTTCTGTACTTTCCCACATGCCACTCCTTCCCTTGGAAACATCCCTTCTCTGCCTCACCACATTAAATCTGATCATCTCAAAAACTCACCTTAAACATTTACTGTTTCCAAGACTCTTTGTTTCTAAACGAGCATTTGGCATGGCACTTTTGGATGATTTTTTTTTTCATTTAAACAAAAAGCTTCTTGAGGGCAGGGGCTGTATCTTTTATCTCTATATTATCCAACCCTAAGACAAAATTGTTGTGTATAAAGCAAGAATTTGAATGTAAAATATTTCTTTAGTTTCACATGTTTTACCAAAGTTCAAGCTCCAACGTGCAATAAATATTGCTATTAATACACTGCCCATTTCAAGAATTTTTCCAACATTTATTCATTTAAAATCTATTTGTATTTAATTTTTCCAGATTGTTAACTAGATAGATAATCAGTTCATAGGATTACTGAAACTAAGAGATTTCCTATCTGTATTCTTAATAACTCCATGGTTTTTAGTGTTTAAACCTGCCATCCTGATTAAGCCAAAGCTCTACAAACTTAAGAGACATACTGGATAGCCCATAATACAGCTTCAATTGACAAAAAAGGTTTAGAATTTGCTACAATTCTGAGAAAACTCTGCTCTTAAAAACGACTTACTGACCTAAGCACTTGAATGAGTGAACAAAGGGACACAAAGTCCTGAGAGAGCCATCCTCTACTTATTGGAAGACTACTCACTGCAAATTTCTAAAGACCTTCTGAATGGCAGTGAATAACTGATGGTAGAAAGGAAAAGGTATTATTCTGTAAGCTGATAGATAGTGCCAATAATATTCATTTTAATGTCTCAACGACAGAGATAAGTCAGACTAGGCCAGGAATGGTGGCTCACACCTGTAATCTTAGCATTTTGGGAGCCTGAGGTGGGTGATTCACTTGAGCCCAGGAGTTCAAGATCAGCCTGAGAAACACGGCAAAAACCTCATCTCTACTTAAAAAAAAAATACAAAAACAGATTGGAGGACCACCAGAGCTTAGGGACGTCAAGGCTGTGGTGATCTGTGACCGCACCACTGCACTCCAGCCTGGGGAACAGAGTGAGACCCCATCTCAAAAACAAACAAACAAAAATTTAGATTAATGTTATTGGAAAGGAAAGATTTAAAGGAATTAGCACATATCCAACTCCAACTCTTCTAGAAATATCTGAAGTTTCTGAGATATAAGAATTTACATATTACACTTATGTATTCAGTGGTTAAGCAGGAGTGTATCCGGATTTTGAGAAATTTGTTGTTGTTGTTGTTAGAGACAGGGTCTCATTATGTTGACCAGGCTAGACTAGAACTCCTAAGCTCAAGCAATCCTCCCACCTCAGCCTCCCTAGCAGCTGGGACTACAGCCATGCACCACCATGCCTGGCTTCAAGGAAACATTTTTAAACATACATATCCCGGCTTTATTAGACTTACTCTATCAAAATCTTCAGGGGAAAACCTAGACTTGAAGATTATTTAAAAATTTTCCTGAGGTAACTGGAATGCACAACTCTAGCTGGAAGCTAGTGCAATAGACAATTATTTCAGTCTCATCTCTCATCCACATAAACAATTCCCTTTATCATTTGAGGATTTGGTCAAAAAGAGGAAAGAGTAGGAGAGAGATTCATTTGCTGAAAACACCACAAAATTTTCCCCGGTAAGAGTAGAACAAGGTCTAGTAAACTCAAAATCCAACCTGATCTTTTTACTTATAAGCCCCTTATCTCCCACCTTCCCATCAAGACATTCTAGAATTGAAAGCAGAGTTGAGACTCTAATTGGCCATTTCTACCAGAATAGGATACTAAGTTGGTTAATTACTTGTTATTCCTTCTACTCAAGGGTTCCCAATACATTACCACATATTCACTGCCAATCTGGTTCCTCAGAGGCCTCCTAAAATTTATCTCTAGGCAGTTTACAACCCACTAACTCCCTCTCCCAAACTGAAAACTGTCATTCTCTAAAATGGAAAAGAACCCTGTCTCACCATATAAAGGAAACAAATGAATGAACAACAGTAACAACACACACACACACACACACACACACAACCTCTTCATGGTCTTTTCCCCCATTACCTAATTTCCAAGTTGGCCTTGATATTTCTGATTGCTGCATTTTTCCCTTTCCACTTCTGCCTCATGAGCAATCAGAAATATCTTAAGCCTTGCCACTGAGAGATACATCACCTCATATCTATTAGTGTTTTTTTAGGAATTTGCCAAAGTAGCAGGATTACTATTCACTGAAACATGTTTAAGTTTTCTTGGAGTTTTAATGTAAAACCTATTTCCAGGGCAAATTTTGTCATTTTACATTCATTAGGGAAAAAAAACTTGGCAGGGAAAAATTGAAAAAAAAAAAAGTATTACCTTTTACAAATTCAGTGTTTTTTTAAAAAAAGCACTAACCACAAGTGCACTGAAAAATCTGTACCCTCTAATGCTTCTTTAAAAGTAACAATATTTAAAATAAAGTCTTAGATAATTAAGTCATTTCAAAATATTTTCATTCAGGTTATGCTTGAGCTTCCAAATACGGAAAACTGGCCCTTACACAGGTCAATGTTAACACGAATGCATTTCAGTATTTTGAAGATAAAATTGGTAGATCTATACCTTGTTTTTTGATTCAATATCAGCACCATATAAGAGCAGTGCTTTGGCCATTAATTTATCTTCATTGTAGATAGCATAGTGTAGAGCGGTATTTCCATACTCATCTGGAATATTTCGATCAGCGCCATGTTCCAGCAACATTAACACACATTCATCTTCCTGGCATTGTATGGCCTGTCAGTATTAGACCAAAAACAAATTACAAGTCCTAGGAATTCAAAATAACATTCCACAGCTTTCACCAACTAGTTATATTTAAATGAGAAAACTCATTTTTATGCTATCTATTGAAATCAAACCCATCTCACGCTGATATAGTTGACTACTGCATACCTTTATCAGAGCTGTCCTTTTTTTGTTGTCAAGGACATTAAGTTGACATCGTCTGTCCAGCAGGAGTTGTACTACTTCTGAATTTCCATTGGCAGAGGCCAAATGTAGAGCAGTCCTATGAGAGTGAGAAGACTTGAGGAAATTGTAGTTCACTAGCTAATGCCACATTAATGATTCATGTAGTTGCAAACACTGAATAGCCTATTACTCTGCCTTCAAAACAAACTCAATTTTCCTTTGAAGAAAGCACACTACTTATTACCTCTCATTACTCACTGTATTAATGAAAGAGCAGCCTATTTGAATAGAAAGAGCATAGCTCTTGGATGACATTCAACTTGGGCTGGAATCCTACTTGAAGCTCTGTCACTTCCTAGCTGTTGCTTAGCCTTTTTGTGTCTCAATTTCCTCATCAATAAAATGGGAATGAAAATAGTCAGTTTCTCAGAGGAAACCACTGTAATGCTTAAATAAGACTCTACACAAAATATAGAATAGTTCCTAACACAAATAACAGCTCAAAAATTGTAAGATATTATAATTTTTACTAATACCACTAAAGACAACATTTGAATTAAGTGAAACGATACAATTATACCTACACTTTCAGGTACATTTTAAAGATTACAGGTAGCGTTGTACTGTATTTTATTGAGTCTAAGATGATCATTGTCTCCATGTTTTAACATTTCTTACACTGAAATACCACTTATAATTCATGATTTACTATAATTATAATTGGCAGCATTTAAATAATTTTCTTAGTGAGACATAAAATAATGGGGCATCATACAATCCCTGGTGCCTTATATTAAGTAGAATATGTTATAATATAACAGGTCTGGGGCAGTTCCAGTCAGATGACTAGCATTTAGATAAATTTTAGTTTTTAAAAGAACTATGGAATAAGAGGGCTGAGGTGAAAACAAAAACAATTTTCTAAAATAATCTATTTCTTACTTTGGTTTTCAAAAACTTTAAGCCAAAGAAAACTTGAAATTCAAATGAATAGCATGGGCTCATTTTTTTCAATACTTAGATTTATACAATGTATGTACATCAGATATTTCCAATCATTCATATTAGGATTTAAGACTGTTATAAATTTTCTCTTTTTCAAATGGATTTATGAAACTATTTGTGGAGCTTTTTTCAACTTTTATATTCGGGGATACAGGTGCAGGATGTGCAGGTTGGTTAACATAGGTAAACGTGTGCCAAGGGGGTTGGTTGTACAGATTATTTCATTACTCAGGTGTTAAGCCTAGTACCCGTTAGTTCTATTTCCTGCTTCTTTCCTTCCTCCCACCCTCCACCCTCTGATAGGCCCCAGTGTGTGTTGCTTCCCTCTAGGTGTCTGTGTGTTCTCCTCATTTAGCTCCCACCTATAAGAGAGACCATGCAGTATTTGGTTTTCTCTTCCTATGTTAGTTTGTTAAGGATAATGGCCTTCAACACCATCCATGTCCCTGCAAAGGACAGGCTCTTGTTCTTTCTTTTATGGCTACATAGTATTCCATGCTGTTTATGTACCACATTTAAGTTCTTAAAACAGCTAAAACAGTCTTTACCCAAGCCTTATAAATTTTCAAAAGGGCAGTTAAGGGTTATCTTTTACTATTTGTCACCTTCAGAAATGCTTTTGTTTGAAAGGAGGGAGGAAAAGCTTCAATTGAGATTAAGTCCTAATGCCCCAATTTTGATTCTCTCAGCTTGCTCAGGCGCAGCAGGTAAACATGAAGTTTTCAAAGGTGGAAGGAACCTGAGAGATAGCAGAATATGCCTGCCATATAATAGGTGTCTGGCTTATGTTTGATGACTAAACGGATTGAAAGAATGGATAAACATAGGTTGGAAGTTCAATATTTTTAAAAGAAAACTCCTGTTGAGTAGAGCAATACATTTGCGATAGTAACGATCATTTATATTTGCTATTTTAGTTTTCATAAATATATAACTAAACTAAAATAATTAATCCATACTATTTACACATTAATCTATATATAATAAAATGTATATACAATAAAATCTACCAGAAGAGGTAAACAGAAGCCCTCTACTTCTGAAGAGGGTAAAAGTTCACAGAAGATAGCCATCCACAGGTATAAAAATAAATAATAGAATGTCAGAAATTATTTGTATCTATGCAAGTAGCATATTCCTTCTCTTCCCAAGGATTATTTCATTACTAATGAAACTTAACTAAAACTTTTCAGATGTTCATTGCAGAAATCACAGATAAGAGAAAGGGAAAAACTTCACTTACAAATCCCCAGAAATAAGTTTGATTATATTTTCCACATATTTCCAGCTAACACAAGAGCAGATTCTGTTTGTGTATATGTATAACAAACTGATTTTTTCTCACTTGATATAGCAAAGTACATCTTTGCATGCCGACATATCTCTGTATCTACTGACACCCTCAATGGTTACATATTATTCCATCCTATGGATGCACTGAAATTTGTTCATAAAATCTTTATATGAGTTCTTCTCAATACATGGCTATTTTAAGCAATACTAAGAAAAACAGCTGTGTCTGTTTCATATAGATATTTCAGTATAATGGAATAGATGGGTAAAAGGCATACACATTTTAAAAATGTGGTTCTTACCATCAAAGTTTCTATTTGAAAAGTCGCAGCAACTTAAACTTTCAGCAAGTATATAAGTACCACTGTTCTTCACCCTCACAAACTTTGTGGACAGAAAACAGTATTTCATTCCTTTATATTTATTTATTTATTTTTATTTATTTATTTTTTTGAGATGGAGTCTCACTCCATCACCCAGGCTGGAGTGTAGTGGTGCAATCTCAGCTCACTGCAACCTCCGTCTCCCTGGTTCAAGCAATTCTCCTGCCTCAGCCTCCTGAGTAGCTAGGATTACAGGTGCATGCCACCATGCCCAGCTAATTCTTTGTATTTTTAGTAGAAACGGGTTTCACCATGCTGGCCAGGCTAGTATCAAACTCCTGACCTCGTGATCCACTTGCCTTGGCCTCCCAAAGTGCTGGGATTACAGGCATGAGCCACCATGGCTGGCCTTTCATTCCTCTTCTAACTTAAACAGAAAATAGTCTTTCATTCCTCTTCTAACTTAAATTCCTTCTCTTAGCAGGAATGCTATGTTTTCCTATGTGCACAGGTCACTGGTAGACATGCAAAAAAGTACCTTGCCCAATTTTAAATTGAGCTTATTTTATTATATCTGCATATATATGCCGGTTTCAGTGGCTCATGACTGTAATCTCAGCACTTTGGGAGGCTGAGGTGGGTGGATCACAAGGACAGGAGTTCAAGACCAGCCTGGCAAAGATGGTGAAATCCCGTCTTGATTAAGAACACAAAAAATTAGCCAGGCATGGTGGTGGGTGCCTGTAATCCCAGCTACTTGGTAGGCTGAGGCAGAGAATTACTTGAACCAGGAACCAGAGGTTGTAGTGAGCTGATATTGCACCACTGCACTCCAGCCTGGGCTATGGAGTGAGAGTCTGTCTCAGAAAAATAAATAAATATTTTCACATATAAATAGGCATTTGTGTTTTCTTCTGGTACTTTTCTCCGTTTGTATCTTTAAAATTTTTAATCTATACTCCAGGAACTTATTTTTGTGACATAAAAATCTAGGTAGTTTTCTCCAAGCAGCATGCATTTAATTTATGAATAATTCACCTTGTTTTACCAATATGAAACATCACCATTATCAAGTGCTAAATTCTTACATATATTTGGGTATTTCTGGATTTCCTATTCTGTTCTGTTCATTTATGTCTTTTCAGCTGTTAGTAAACAATTTGTGGAAATAACACATGCACATTTTGATATCTGGAAAAGCAAGTCTTCTTCCATTCTGTTACAAAAAACCAATTTATCACAATGATAAAATACATCATGTGCAATTTAAAGACACTAAGACTTTGCTATTTTTATTTGGCTTACGTAAAAGTGATAAACACAGAAAAAGCTCACATCTTAAGAAAAACGAACCTTCCTATTCAAAGATATAAACCATACTTCCCATTTCAGTTTCCTTTTAAGGTTACTCAGTAAAGAACGTATTTACATAGGGGTACATCGATATAAAATCCATATTGGATTTTATTTGAAAGATATTTAGCCCAGAAGTTGATATATTATGGGACTTAGTTCTCAATATACACCTTTCTATAGTGTACAGAACATTGTTTTAAAATGTGTACATTAAAAATAATCTGCTGCATCGACTTAATTTTGCGAGTTAAATCACTTTAAAACAGTCTATTAGTGTTCTATAAGGGAAATTGTAATTGGATTGGAAATCAGCTAAAATTTTTTGTGTCGCTGTTTATAAAGGGACCTGGGCCCTGACCTCTCTGAGGTTTCCACACCCAGGGTGGTGTGGTGCCTGCGGAGGAAGAGAAAGCCTGGCTCCTCCCTCCCTGCGCCAGGAGGGTATGTCCCCATCATCCCCCCATGTCCCGCCTCCTCCCATCCCAGGCCCGGTTACCTCTTTTCCTTGTCCCTCTTGTTCATGTCAGTGTCCCTGAGCATGACGATGAGATCCTTTCTGGGGACTTTACCCCACCAGGCAGCTCTGTGGAGCTTGTCCAGATCTTCTCGACGGACGTGGTACCTCGGCTCCATGAAGGCGCTGTGGTCGTAGTCTCCCCAAGCGCCCACGTTGCTCTTGCTGCTCCCCCTGCAGCAGGGGAAGCAGTGACAGCACCACTTGCCCATCTTGCTCCTGAGCATCTTCATAAAGGAGTTTTCATGGTCTCCAGAAGTGCCCACGTTGCTCGTGCCGCTCCCCCTGCAGCAGGGGAAGCAGTGGCGGCAACACTTGCCCATCTTGCTCCTGAGCATCTTCATAAAGGAGTCGTCGTGGTCTCCAGAAGTGCCCATGTTGCTCTTGCCGCTCCCCCTGCAGCAGGGGAAGCGGTGGTGGCACCACTTGCCCATCTTGCTCCTGAGATCAAATGGCTTCTTCACAGTAGAGGCAGTGGGCATTGAACAAACCTCAGCCACCATCTGCTTTTAACAGCCAGGGGAGGCCGGTAGTAGCGAACAGATCGCGTCTACCAACCAGTTTCACCAACTAGCAGGAAACCTTGGGTTTCCAATCTGTTTGAAGAGAAAGGTCAATCCCAGCCAAAACTTGCCAACCCCAGCAAGGGAGCCCAGCCCACCCCACCCAGGGAAAACCCACACCCACCCGGGGAAAGCCCACGCCCACCAGGGGGACCCCAGGCCCACCCCAGGAAAGGCCAAGCCCCCCCCTCCGAAGGAAACACCCAGCCCAGTCAAGGGAATGCCAAACCCAGCAGAGAAAAAGTCAGGCCCAGCAAAGGAATGCGAGGGAGAAAACGCCAATCCAAGCAAGAAACACCAGGCAAAGCGACTAACGCCAAGCCAAGCTAGGAACGCAAGGCCAAGCGAGGAACGCAAAGCGAAGCGCACCCGTTACTGGTAAGCCAAGCCGTTATGCGCGTGCGGGGCGCGCGTGAGGCGTGCGCGCCTCAGACGTTATGCGGCGTGCGCGTGAGGCGTGCGCGCGTCATTGCACGTGGTGCAGGAAGTGGCCGATGTGTGCAATCCGCGTGCGCAAGTCTTGGCGCCACAAATGTCAGTGACAGCCTTGCGTTACTGGCAAAGTTCATGGGAGTTGACCCAGCTTTCTGGCCACTGAGGAGAAGCCTGTGGTGGGAAAAAGCCTCTTGAAGCAGGACTGGGGCTAGAGCGCCTGGAACTCGAGGATGCTGACAGCCTCCTCTGAAGAAAGCCCCCAAGACACTAGTGGTGGTGCTGTTGTGGGTGGCCGCCGCTGCAGCTTAGAGCTCTGGTTGGCGAAGCTGGATGCAAATGGCCTCAAAATCTCCGAGCACAAGACGCCCACGGAGCCCAGGGCCTGCCTGAGGCGCCTTCCACACCTGCTCCTCCTTGGTCCGTGCCCAGAACACAGGGCCATCAGCAACGGGGCACTCGGGGCCACAGAATCGGGGCTGGGCTGCTAGCTCCTGCTGTGGTGCCCCCTGCCTGGTGTCCAAACCAGGGCCAACAGCTGTGGGGCTTCTGGCCCGGGGTGCTTCGCTTCACTGGCATGCAGTAGGGTTGAGGTGCAGGCCGCTGTCTCCAGGCCTGAAAGAGGCGGCTGGGAGGAGCACCTACCACTGATGGGGAGATGCAGGAAGGCACCCCCACATGCAGATCCTGGGAACAGGACACTGCCAGCACCAGGGAGCCAGATCGGAGCCTCCCTGGTAGCCTGTGAGCTGGACCCAGGCAGTGGCACCTCGACCCTCCTGCTGGGACCCTCCTGCTGTGCAGGCTTATGCAGCCAGGCTCCAAGCTGCTTCACCCATACTGCAGGTGCTTTGGTGTGGGAGGAAAAATGCATTCTGGCCGGGCACTGTGGCTCACGCCTGTAATCCCAGCACTTTGGGAGGCTGAGGCGGGCGGATCATAAGGTCAGGAGATAAAGACCATCCTGGCTAACACGGTGAAACCTCATCTCTACTAAAAATACAAAATACTAGCGGGCATGGTGGTGGGCGCCTGTAGTCCCAGCTACTCGGGAGGCAGGAGAATGGCGTGAACCCGGGAGGCGGAGCTTGCAGTGAGCCGAGATCGCATCACTGCAACCTGGACGACAAAGCAAGGCTCTGTCAAAAAAAGAGAGAGAGAGGGAGAGACAAAGACAGAGACGGAGACAGAGAGACAGATGGAGAGAAAGAGAGAAAAATGGATTCTAAGCCTGGGACACCGACCTGCTCTTGCCAACAAAAGCAGAGGGGAAGCCAATTACAAGTGCAAAAAAAAAGTTTTTATTTCAGTGGGATGAATGTCTAGGTGTGCAGTCACTGGAGTAAACGTCACTGGGACATGATGTGTAATTCTTTGTGTACATCGCTGAGTGCTACTGCTAATGTTGTTAAGAATTGGTGTATCCATGTTCAAGAGAATTACCGGGCTATAGTTTACTTTTTTGTACTATTTTGATATCAGAGTAATGTTAGCTTCATAAAATGAATTGGGAAAGATTCTCTATTTTCAGAAAAGATTGTGTGTATTGGTGTCAATTCTTTAAGCAGTACATAAAATTCTTTAGTAAAACCATTTTGTCCTGGAGATTTCTCCTTCAGGAGTCTTTAAAATTAGAAATTAAATGTCCTTACATTTTAGGGCTATTAAATTACCTATTTTAGATTGGGTGAGTTTTGTGGTGGTTTCTGCTTTTCATGAAATTGGCCCATTTTCCCCAAGTTGTCAAATGTATGTGAGTGGAGTTGTTCATGACATTCCTTTATCATTTTCATGTCTTCAAGGTCTGTAAGGATAGCCCATTTCATTCATGAAATTGGTAATTTATGACATCCCTTTTTTCTTTATCATTATTAGTTAAGGTTTGTCAATTTTATAGATATTTTCAAAGAACCAGCTTTATTTCTTTGCTTTTCTTTGTTGTTTTCTTTTGGCTGTTTCATTTATTTCTGCTCTTATCCCTATTATATTCTTTCTTATATTTGTTTTGATTTTATTTTGCTACTATTTTCTACTTTCTTGATGTGATAGCTTGAATTTTTATTTGAGAGATTTCTACTTTTCTATTATATACATTTAGTGAAATACATTTTCCTCTCAGCACTGATGTCAACTGTGTTAAATCAAGTTTGATATGTTGTATTTTTATTTTTATTCAGTTTAATATATTTAATTGTTTCCCTTGAGACGTTCTCCTTAGAAGTGTGCTTGCTGTTTAGCACTATTCACAATAGCAAAGACATGGAATCAACCTAAATGCCCATCGGTAATACACTGGATGAAGAAAATGCAGTACCCATACAACATGGAATACTATGCAGCCATAAAAATGAAGGAGATCATGTCCATTGCAGGGACATGGATGGAACAGGAAGCCATTATCCTCAGGAAACTAATGCAGAAACAGAAAGCCAAACTTCTAACGTTCTCACTTATAAGTAGGAGCTGAACAATGAGAACACATGGACACAGGGAAGTAAGCAACACACACTGGGGCCTGTGGATGGGGGAGGGAGAGGAGAGCATCGGGAAAAATCTCTAATGCATGCTGGGCTTAAACCGAGGTGATGGGTTGATAGGTAGGGAAAACCACCATGGCACAAATTTACCTATGTAAAAAACCTGCACATCCTTCACATCTACCCCAGAAGTTAAAATAAATAAAAATGTAAAAAAAAGAACTAAAAAAGTATGCTGTTTATTTTTCAAGTATTTAAGATTCTGCTGTTATTTTACTTTTTTATTTTTAATTTGATGCCATTTTGGCTGGAGGATACATTCTACAGGATTTCAGTTTTTAAAAAATTCTTAATGTTTGTTAAAATCCAGGATACAGTCCATTTTGGTTTATGTTCTGTGGGTACCTAAATGTTCTGCTGTATTCTGCTGCTAGGGGGTGGAGCCCGTTTTTTTCTTCTTTTTTTTTTTTTTTGAGGCAGAGTCTCACCCTTTTGTCCAGGTTGGAGTGCAATGGCGCAATCTCGGCTTACTGCAACCTTTGCCTCCCGGGTTCAAGCGATACTCCTGCCTCAACCTCCCGAGTAGCTGGGATTACAGTCATGCACCACCACGCCCGGCCAATTCTAGTATTTTTTTTTTTTTTTTTTTTTTGTGACGGAGTTTCACTCTTGTTGCCCAGACTGGAGTGCAATGGTGCAATCTCAGCTCACCACAGCCTCCACCTCCCAGGTTCAAGTGATTCTCCTGCCTCAGCCTCCCGAGTAGCTGGGATTACAGGCATGCACCACCATGCTGGGCTAATTTTGTATTTTTAGTAGAGATGGAGTTTCTCCATATTGAGGCTGGTCTCAAACTCCTGACCTCAGGTGATCTGCCCGCCTCGGCCTCCCAAAATGCTGGGATCACAGGCGTGAGCCACCGGGCCCAGCCTTAATTCTAGTATTTTTAGTAGAGATGGGGTTTTGCCATGTTGGCCAGGCTGGTCAACTCCTGACCTCAGGTGATCCACTCGCCTTGGCCTCCCAAAATGCTGGGATTACACCCACCGCACCCAGCCAGTGGTGGAGCACTTTATAAATGCCAGTAAGATCCTGTTGCTTGATGGTGTTGTTGAGTTTTTTTTTTTTTATATATAACATTGATAGTATTTAGATCTAGTTTTTCTACCAATTATTGAAAGATGCTTGTTGAAGTCTCCAATTATGATTGTTGATTTGTCTATTTATTCTTGCAGTTCTATCAGATTTTGCTTCACATATTTTGTAGCTCTGTTATTGGTTGCACATACATTTAAGATTGCCAGATCTTTTTTGTGAACTGACTCTTTTTTTCTTACGTGATGCCCTTCTCTGTCTCTCCCAATTGTCTTTGCTCTGAAATTAATTTTAGCTGGTATTGAGATAACACTCCTGCCCTCTTTTATTAATGTTTACATAACATACCATTTTTCCTCCTTTTACTTTCAACCGATCTATATTATTATTGTGTGCTAGTGTAGACTCTCATTTCTTCATGAGTTTTAAAGAAAACTCCTAAGACTGGTTATAAATAGCAAAACAGACCAAATGGCAATAACCACCTACCCACTAAATCTTGTCATGTGATATTCCTGTATATCATACTTGCACCTTCTCTGTTCAATCATTGTGACCCACTTCAAAGAATTTGGCAGGTTCAGCACAGTTTCTTATATACATAACTAATTGTCCAACCTTTCTCAAATTTCCAGTCAAATCTTAGCTCTATTTACAAAACATATATTTTGGATAGCAAACTAAAATTTATTTTTTTACTAAACTCCATATCAATTCCCCTCTAAGAGCCACGGTAACTCTTTCCTGGTATCCAAAAGACACAACCTTGGCTGGCTCTGATTAACATTTGCTTATACATGCTGATAGGCCCACTAAACTATGCAATTATGACAGAATAATATTAGAAAGCTTAGAATTAATCTGTTTTCAAGCCCAAGAGTATATGAAAAATATAGAACATTTACCAATTAACTTTGTATTAGGCACTTCACACATTTCTCATATTCTTATTTAATCCTTGTAATTGCACAAATGATCTTCTGTGGTAGGCATCATCTTCTCTTCTTTACAACTGAAAAACTGAACTGAACATCAGGTAGCTGGAATTAAGCTGGGCTTTTACTAACACTCACCTTTGTGCCAGTCTTAGAGAGGTTGCACATCTGACTAAAATGTTCACACTTCTCTGAATCCGCTCCACGTGTAGTGTCTTTCTACTATGGCTTGGTGACCTAGGTTTACTCCTGGGGCTTGCTTTGACCAGTGGAACTTTGGCAGGCATTACAAAAGCAAAGGCTTAAATGGAGTTTGCATAATTACACTTGATTTGTGCCTCTTTCACTACCATGAGACAAACATATCTCAGCTAGTCTCTTGTTTCCAGGAAGATTGAAGAAAGGTGGTGCAGATCCTCGTTAGATAATTTGCCCAATGCAAGCCAGTAAATAATAAAACTCCCTCCAGTCAGTAAACTGCAGAAGTGCAAGTTCAGTGAAGCCCAACTAGTTTCAACCTAGATCAACTTGGTCTTAGATGTTTCCAGATACTTGAGCTGAGAGGATAAATGATTATTTTTCTGAGTTGTGGGGTGGTTTGTTATGCTGCAGTTGATAACCAATACAAAATTGGAAACTCTTTCCCCTGCTTTTTGCAGATGATAAAATGAAACACAATGTCTGATTGGAGAAGCTTACAGAAGTGTTGAAGCATCTTTGTTGACCGTGCATAAGGAAAGTTCAACATTAATGTTAAGAGGCCAGAAAGACTGGGTTTAGGTGGCTTGTTAGTTTTTCTGTCCGAAAACAGTACTTGATGTTCTCTATTAATCTAGGACAAAAGATGAGAACTGAAAGGAAAGGATAGAATACTCTCCATGATGTACTGTAGTAACACACTGGTATACTTCTCAGTATATAAATGTCAAAAAGAAGTGTTCCGACTAGCTCCTCTCTGTATGCCCTGCTGGAAGAGGTAAAATATAACATGCAAGACTCACTTTTGCAGTTAAAGTAACCAGGGAAATTTTAAACGTTCCATCATAGTTTGACAAACTATAGCCCACAAGCCAAATCTAGCCTGCTGCCACTTTTTATTAAGTTTCACTGAAGAAGACAGCCATATCTCTCATTACATATTGCCTATTGCTGCTTTTGCTCCACATTAGCAGAGGTGAGCAGTTGAGAGCGACATTACGGCACATAAAACTTGAATTACGGTGGTGGCTGCTTTCCCCCTCTCTATTTGCTTGTCCTTTATCTGTTTTCTTTCTTCTTTTTTCTTTTTTTTTTTGAGACGGAGTCTCTCTCTGTGGCCCAGGCTGGAGTGCAGTGGTGGGATCTCGGCTCACTGCAAGCTCTGCCTCCCGGGTTCACGCCATTCTCCTGCCTCAGCCTCCCGAGTAGCTGGGACTACAGGCGCCTGCCACCACACCTGACTAATTTTTTATATTTTTAGTAGAGACAGGGGTTTCACTGTGTTAGCCAGGATGGTCTCAATCTCCTGACCTCGTGATTCACCCGCCTCGGCCTCCCAAAGTTCTGGGATTACAGGCGTGAGCCACCACGCCCGGCCTTGTCCTTTTTCTGTTTTCACACTCCTCCCGGCTGTGTAGTCACTCGTTCTCTCTCATTTATCAAAGCCTTTCCCAGTCCTGACTATCTGGCTCATTTTAGAAAATGTTTGCTGACCCTTGCTGTAGAGTGCTGTAGGAAGGCATGGCTGGAAGATCTTGGACTAGAGCAGGAAAGTACAGCTGATCATGTGAGGAAATCGTGTTGGTGTAGTTGTGGCTGTGGTTGTAGTACTGTGGTTGTACTTAACAAATGGGAAAAGAGACATGATTGCAGGGAATTCTCACTGGAGTCCATTGTGAAATTTCAGGTCAATGCTTCTGTCATTCACCTGCTGTAGAAAATTATTGAATGGTTTATCTACTTTAAAAAATCTTATTTTTATGCAGCACCTTTACAACATTAGTGTCATCCCAAAGATTTAACTTGATTTCTAGACGGAAATTTGAACCAAGAGAAATGGGGCACTCTGGAAATGTAGCCAGGCCCAGATATATTTTCTATAAAACATTGTGTGTGTGTGTGTGTGTGTGTGTGTGTGTGTGGTGTGTTTAAAAGGTATCAGTCAGATATTGCCCCAATAATATGTATGCTTGGATCAAGCACAAAGTGTAGACATAACTGCAAGGCATATGCTGTCTGACCATATTTCAGAGCACTCTAAATTATTTATTTGTTGTGTGCATCCTCCAGCCCTGACAAATCCCCAAGGATGAAATAAAGACTACACTCCTTTCCACTTCAAAGTTCCTCTCAGTTTTACTGTTCAAATTACGGTGGTGGCTGCTTTCCCCCTCTCTATTTGCTTGTCCTTTATCTGTTTTCTTTTTTCTTTCTTTTTTTTTTTTTTTTTGAGACCGAGTCTCTCTCTGTCGCCCAGGCTGGAGTGCAGTGGCGCGATCTCGGCTCACCGCAACCTCTGACTCCCGGGTTCACACCATTCTCCTGCCTCAGCCCCACTAGTAGCTGGGACTACAGGTGCCCGCCACCACTCCTGGCTAATTTTTTGTATTTTTTAGTAGAGAAGAGGGTTTCGCCGTGTTAGCCAGGATGGTCTAGATCTCCTGACCTCGTGATCCTCCCAGTAAACTAG
Source organism: Homo sapiens (assembly GCF_000001405.40). NCBI lineage: Eukaryota > Metazoa > Chordata > Mammalia > Primates > Hominidae > Homo > Homo sapiens. The sequence continues at coordinate 146,955 of NT_167208.1, forward strand.
TTTTCTGTAGCTTGTATACTGTCATATATTCACAAGGATTCATAAAAGAAATATTCATTTTTACATTGTTTCATATCTCTTAATGCCTTTATTTTCTCTTTATTTTCCTTCAGATTTATGAACTAAAACGTTAATGCTTGAAGCTGAAACTTTTTCCCTCAGCTTTTGTACATGTAAATCTCTTTTTATATTGCAACTCTTCTTGCCATGTTCAAGGTTATTAAAATATGTTCACATTTTTGTAGATGGATTGTTGTGCTAGTAACATTTTTGTAAACACTTTTCCTTTGACTACCTTAATTTGCTTTCGAATTTTTTCACAATCCTTACAATATCATGAATTTTGAAAACATGGAGTAAGGGCTTCTGACATTAAGAATAATGGGTTTAACGAAATCAGCTAATTTGGTTTCTGAGTATATTTTGCCACTCTTTAGCAAAACCATCATAAAATTGTGATAGAAGATGTCTGTTAGTTGTATGGGTGGATTGTTTTAAACACCGGCTGGGTATGCATAAACAGTCATTTTCTTTTTTTTTTGAGACAGAGTCTCACTCTGTCACCCAGGCTGGAGTGCAGTGGTGTGATCTTAGCTTGCTGCAAGCTCCGCTTCCTGGGTTCATGCCATTCTCCTGCTCAGCCTCCTGAGTAGCTGGGACTACAGGCACCCACCACCACGCCTGGCTACTTTTTTGTATTTTTAGTAGAGACAGGGTTTCACCGTGCTAGCCATGATGGTCTCGATCTCCTGACCTGGTGATTTGCCCGCCTCGGCCTCCCAAAGTGCTGGGATTACACATGTGAGCCACTGCACCCAGCCTATATAGTCATTTTTTAAGATAGAATTTTAATTTTAAAATAGCTTTAGATTGCTAGAAAATTGACTATAACACAGAGTGTTCTCCCATACCCCACACTCAGTTTCCTCTCTCAGTAACTTCTTGTACTGGTATGGTAACTTTTTTGAGACTAACAAACCAATATTGCCACATGATATTAAATTAAAGTCCATACATTGTTTAGATTTCCTTAATTGTTATCAAATGTTATGAAGCCATTTTGATAGGAGAAAAATTTATGGTATATATGTACAGATTGACCACCTCCAAAGAAAGAGGGGAGGTAAATAATAAGAGGGTCTGATGTTTTGCTATAATTTTTACAATCACAGTTTTAAATCATGGCATTTTCCAAAATTTATTAGCTATGTAATCATAGTCAAGTTACTTTGCCTCTTTAAGCCCTACTTCCTTTATGTAAAAGTGAGCAAAACAATAGTATCTCACAGATTGGTGATGAGCATTAAATAAAATGTTGCAGATAAAGTTCTTAGTAAAGTCTGGAACATAGTTCTCAATAAATGTTGACTATTTTTGCTATTATTACTAAATTTAAAGGCTGAAGACAAGCTGACTGATAGTATTCAGAATTACTCATAGAATGTTTATATTGGCTCAGACTGATGAGTATAACAGAGCCAATATTCACATTGTCTCCAAGTACAATTTGCCCTATGAGACACCGGATATAGTAAGTAGCCCATCAGGTATCCAGCAGTAAAAACTAAATTAGAGGAAGGAAGTCCTGTCCCAACTGGTTTGACATATTGTGGCTGAATTTTTAGGTTTTAGTGAAAATAATAATGATGGCTTGATCTTCAAAGTTTTTTTTACCATTTCCCAAATAGCTGGGGATTATTGTAGTGTAACCACTTAAAACTCTGATGAAATGTGGGAAGAATTTCTTTTTCTAATTGATACTTTGTGAGTGCAACTACTTTGCATTGTGCAGAGAGAAAATATATATATTCCAGGTATTCGCCAAATCAAAAGTGCACAAACAAGTCCCTAAATTTCTTCCTGTCCTCAGATTTGCCATAAAGTTTCAGACCAAATAAAAAATTGTTTTTTCACTAATTTTCTTTTAGGAAATGTAAGAGAAAAAAAGAAAGAAACAAGTGTTTTGAAGGGTAGAATTTTGGCAATTATATGAGATTGTAAAATCTGAATGTGGATTAGCTTCAACCCATCAAAGATTCAAGAACAGCTACAGTTCTAAGAATGAGCCAAAAAAACCCCAAAAAAAACAGGTATGCATTGAGGGGAGGGAATTAGGAAGGGAATTTATAGCCATTCAGACATTTTTCCAACATTAAGCCTTCACGAATTTTGCATTGGAAAGAAAAATTTATAAATTAAGAAACTCAGTATCTAGTCCACCCTGTGATAAATGCTGCAATGTGCCCAAGTATTCCTAGTTGAGTATGGCTTTGTGCTTTGCCAATCATAACAATGGGAGATAGAAGTAATAAGAGCCTGTATGAAGCACTGTGCTAATGATAATGTTCCCAGTAAGAACAAAAGAGAGGCTATTACTTTTAAACATCATTGAATATAATCAAACACTGGGTAGGCTTGTCTGTATTTAGATTTTATAACTCTATGTTTATAGCTATAAAATAAAAAAGACATGAAATTTCTGTCATTAAGAAAACTATTTATTATTACAAATGTGAATTTCTCTAGACGGTAAATTCTTTGGAATTAGTTGACTTCATGTAAGTTTATTTGTTCAGTAACACAGAGTAGACTTCTTGTAAATAGGAACAAGCATGCATCTGATCAAGATCCACTATTTTCTTACATATATATCCCTTTTCTGCCCTCCCTCAGAATACTATCTTTCACAAAACAACACACATCTCTTCCACCAACTTCTCCCCAGAATATTGCATATTCGATCAGTGTCCACAAATGTTAGATACAGCATGTTAAATTACTATTAGGTTGGTGCAAATGTAGTTGGGATTAATGGCAAAAATCGCAATTATTTTTGCACCAACCTAATAGTAACATTGAAAAACAGTATTAGTTATTCAACATCAGAAAGATCTTCCAGAACAGTCATCACCGCAGATGGGCTGAACTATTATTTATAGGGCATTGCAGTAAGTTAGAATTTTGTCAAATTCATAAATTAATGGATATTTTGTTAAGGGATATGAACAGCCTGTAGTATAAATTTGAGCTACACATTGTTGGGAGAACAAAATAATAAAACAATATAATAGTAGCAATCACGTGGTGACCTTTCCGTCACACTTACAATTTTCAATGCACTTGTCTATTTATCATTTCAAGCGTGGATGGGTTAGCTGAGTGGCGGGGCCATCAGATGTCATATATACAGATGACTCCCTTCTATACACCCTTCTGCAATTAGTTGATGTATATTTTACCTTTGCTTTTCCCTTCCCATTTCACTACTAGTTAAAAATCCTAATCTTGAGTCCTAAATCACACCTAGTTTTACTCATGTGTAGTTGTACCTGACAAAGAATTACACTACATAAATTCCATCCATTAGAGGTGTGGCCAAATGGACAGAAAACCATTAACATTGATTACTTCAGTGCATGTGGGATTGCAAATACAGATGAGAAGGAGAAGATTTTTATTTTTTCTTTATATAAGGTTTACCTTATTTATTCTAATAGAAGACTCAAGTGTCATTTATAGTGAAACATTAAAACTTAAAAGTTCATGTCCTTAATGTTCTGTAAAGGGAGCATAAACTCATTTATTGCAACAAATGCAACAATTTATTTCATTCCTCAGATTATTGGTCCTAATATAAATAAAACTGTTCTGAACTTGCACAGATATATTTAAACAAACAAACGAAAACTAGAGAAGAAGTGAAAAAAAGAATGCTTTTTAAATTACTTAATCATTGTTGATGGACTGAAAACATCCAACTTACACCTCCTGAATTAAATCTGATATTTTCCTGGAGAGTAGAGAGGAGTAGTTGAGGGTAGATAGAAAACAGAGTGTATTCTGAAAAATGTAAAGTTTAGAGAAGCTTAATTTAAACACTCCCTGTGTGTCAAAGAGCTATTAAATAAAATTTTCATGATTTTAATGTAAGTCAATCTGAACTAGCATATGGTCTAAATTTCTCTTAGGTTGCACATGGATTTAAAATGTAGGGGGAAAAGATCACTTGGCAAATATGCTTTTGGTTTTGAAAAACTTCCAAATGTTTAAAAAGTACTTTTCAAATCAACCATAGCCATATGCATCCAGGTTTTCTCATTCTCACCACTGAAGGATAAAAAGAACTAGAATTAAGGCAAAATGGATGGAGAGGTCATACATATGCTGTAAAACTAAAAATCAGTTGATTCTTTAGGGAATTGGTTAAAAAATAAATTTAGTCCTTATGGCAATTTAACCCAAAGACTCTAACACTTATTCTTAGTGACTTAGGATCATGGATGATAGTAATCTGTCACAAAATGATTCTATGACTATTTCCAGAAGTGGAAAAGTGCACAAATAGAAAATGCACATGATATTGCTATTTTATTTTGTTCCAAGTCTTGTTACTATTGGTGGAAAACAGTGTTCCAAAGGAATGAATATTTAGATAATTATGGCATGAAGAATCATTTTCAATCCTTTATGCATAGATACATTGATAATAACTGAACATCTTTGGCATCTGGCTTCCAGATACAGTGACGATTCCCTCACGATATCTAGAAATTAAATAGATGTACATGAACACTTTAAAAAATGTAAAAACATTAAATGTCAGTTATTTTGAAATAAGTTATTTTTTTAAATAAGAAGCATTGTTAATTAAAAATTAGAAAATAGAGACCTATATTTGGACAATTAGTTACTCAATGTTTTTTCCAAATAACAGATGAAATATATTTTGACATTTTTTGTTTTAAATAAATGCAAATATATATATGCAAAACAAATCAGACATTGCTACAAATGAAATATGTGTGCTTCTGTAATTCTCAAACATTGAATAATATTCAGTGAACTTCAACACATGCCTTTGGTGGCCCGTTAAAATTCATTATAATGAATTTTGAATTAGATTCCAAAATGAACACACTATTTTCTTAGCTTTTAGTGTCTGTCGGTTTTTTCTATTTTCATTTTTTGTTTTTGACTGAGGTGGAGTCTCACTCTGTCACCCAGGCTGGAGTGCAGTAGTGCAATCTCAGCTTACTGCAAGCACCGCCTCCCAAGTTCAAGTGATTCTCTTACCTCAGCTTCTCAAGTAGCTGAGGTTACAGGTGCGTGCCACCACGCCCAGCTAATTTTTGTATTTTTGGTAGAGATGAGGTTTCACCATGCTGGCCAGGCTGGTCTCGAACTCCCGACCTCAGGTGATCCACCCACCTTGGCCTCCCAGAGTGCTGGGATTACAGGCGTGAGCCACTGCACCTGGCTGGTTTTTTTTTTTTTTTTTCTATTTTCATTACTAAGACTAAACAATAGTTATGTGACTGAATACAGCTGATCATTTTACCAACTCCTTTCAGCAAATTCATTTTGTCATTTTAATTAAGTACAAATTTAAGAAGTGAATAAATATAGATACTATAGCACATATATTTCCCAAAACATAATATGTGTGTGTGTGTGTGTGTGTGTGTGTCTGTGTGCATTTGGGAAATAAAAGAGTATTATATTTTACTCAAACAACATCAAACATGCGGTCAGGTAAGTTTGATGAAGAAGGTAATATTTCAGCCTAAGACCGAAAATTCTGTAAGACAATGTGTTACTTTATAGTATCAGTTATGTGACCCTTCCACACTGATATTTTGGGTGCAATTAAACCCTCTTTGCCATATACTCTTGGGAGAATAGAAGGTTCTTCACATTTTTCAATTCATTATAACTTCTCCTGTAGGACGGCCCACAAATACCTTTCCTGGACTATATTAAGGAAACAAAAGCAAACAAATATGAGAAAATAATAAAGGTAAGTGTCTGGGAGGGTGGGAAATCAAATTCAGTGGGGTTTAAACTATATCTCATACAAGTGCCCCAAAGTTGTGCTTTTGGAGAAATTCACCTTGGAAAGAGACATGGTCAAGTGATATATTCCCTTTACCTTTTTTAAAAAACAATACATAGCTGTATCCTTGGAAGAGAGGCAAGGAGTGCTGTAGGGTGACTATCTTTGATTTCTGTTGTGCTTCAGGGGAAGTGTAACTTTCTTAAAAGATACCTTGACTTTTGTCATATTTAGCTATTCGTTCCTTTTAGGAAAAAGAGTCTGAGCCTGCTGTGGCTTGGGCTCTTATTATCTTTTCTTGGGCTTCTTGGATCTCATAAATGATAACTCTACTTTTATTGTTGCCTTCTCCAAAGGAACCTGAATACCAGCGTCACCTTCATTTACCCTAAAGCATGATTCTCTGCCTAAGAAAACCCCTATAGTTGACATTTACATTTACTTTATACCTCTCTTAATCTTTTGAGGAATGCCTCTCTACCTATTCTGCATAGTAAAGTTCTAATTACAACTATGAAACAGATATTTCCTTCTTTTCTTATGTTTTATATATTGAATTACTTTATTATTGCCAAGCACAATCTGCTTTGCTAAATTATTCAATATAAGCTTGCCTCTTCCATTAGACTTTGGAATTCCTGAGATAAGAAATTACGTTTTATTCTGAAAGTGTGCTTAAATCAATGGAAAGATGGTTTGTCCAAACAGGATATAGAGGAATAGAGTTATTCTGTACACAGCCACCTTTAGTTGCAAGAGCAGCTAGAAATAGGAATTATGCTACCTTTTTAAACACATGTCCTCAGCCGGGCGCAGTGGCTAGTGCCTGTAATCCCAGCAATTTGGGAGGCTGAGGCAGGCGAATCAGGAGGTCAGGAGATCGAGACCATCCTGGCTAACACGGTGAAACCCAACTCTACTAAAAATAAAAATAAAATAAAATAAAATAAAATAAAATAAAATAAATTAGCTGGGTGTGGTGGTGAACGCCAATAGAGGCAGAAAATCATTCGTTTTAACATCCATTCATGTCTGTAAAAAATTCTAAGTACATTGGAAATGAAAGGGAACCTCTCCAGTCCAATAAAGGGCAATTATGAAAAACCTACAGCAACCATTATAACATATGATAAAATCTTGAATGCATGCCCCCTTAAGATTAGGAAGAATGCAAGTATTCATGCTCTCACCACTTCTATTCAACATGTGCTAACCACTGAAATAAAGTTTTTTTTTTAAAGGTATTAATATTAGGAAGAAAAAAATAAAAATCTATTTATTCATAGAAGAAATATATGTGTAGAGCATACTATGGTGTCTTTAAAGAACTATAATTTACAAGGAAATTTATCAAGGGTTGCAGGATACAAGATCCACATTTAAAAATCAAGTCTTGGTGAGAATGTGAAACAACTATTAACTCTGAAAAATGAAACAAAGTAAACTTAAATGTTCTTCTTCTTCCTTTGATTTTTTTGTATAAAGTGTTAAGGATATAAAAATATTAGAAGTCGTGCCATAAAAGTAAAAAAAGAAAAAAAAATTCTCTTTGAATTTTTATTTTTTGACTTTTTTTTTTGAGACGGAGTCTCACTCTGTCGCCCAGGCTGAGTGCAGTGGTGCGATCTCGGCTCACTGCAAGCTCCACCTCCCGGGTTCAGGCCATTCTCCTGCCTCAGCCTCCTAAGTAGCTGGGACTACAGGCGCCCGCCACCACGCCCAGCTAATTTTTTTTTTTTGTATTTTTTATTAGAGACGGGGTTTCACCGTGTTAGCCAGAATGGTCTCGATCTCCTGACCTCGTGATCTGCCCACCTTGGCCTCCCAAAGTGCTGGGATTTAAGGTGTGAGCCACCGTGCCCAGCCATTTTTTGACTTTTTAATAACAGTCCTTCTGACTGGTGTGAGATGGTATCTCATTGTGGTTTTGATTTGCATTTCTCTAATGAATAGTCAAGCTGAGCATTTTTTTTTCATATGCTTATTGGCCGTATACATGTTTTCTTTTGGAAAGTATCTGTTCATATAAAAAGTGGTAATATTTTTTGAGAAAAAAATGAATAAATTCAGAGACAAACTCTTTTGTTGGTTAAAAGTAATATTATTGAATATATACATGCCAATGCATAAATTGAATACAATTTAATAAAATACCAGTAATACTTTTCATTGTAAAATTAATTCAAGATTATCTGGAGGAAAAAATCTATCCAAGGTGATAAAACTTTCCTAGAAGGATTAAAAAGTCTCCATTTTGAGGACTATTTTAGATCTTCAGATTAATTTTATCTTATGTATTAGAGTGAACATTAAGAGGTGAGTAAGATCCTGGATTATATGCACAATTATGAAAAAAATCATGTTTTTAAAAGTTTTGGTGGCAAGACTAACCTACTCCAAGATGGGGTTGTTATTCCACCTAAGAACGTATCTAACCTCATTCATTTTGCTTCCTTTCTCTATTTTCCTTTGTGCAGCTCTCTTTATCATTGTTTTCTTTTTGTGGTTATATGGATTTGTAGACTGTGCATTTATATGGACTGCCATGCGAGCTGTCACAGCCCAGGCAGTGGAGTGTGGTTGGCTTGTGGGTAGTAAGAAGAATTTACCAACAACTGTATAGATTTGGAAAGGAAAGCTGTATTAGATGGAAAGAATGCTGCAGAGGAGTGCAGCAGGGCTCCTCAGCAAGAGAGGACTGAGTATGCCACTGCACTAGATTTTTCCTTAGGGTATTTATGGACCTTAAAGTGGGAGCTTAAGGGTAATTTTTACCATATTAGCCACATAGGTCATGGTAAACAATTACATTTATAGACATTTTGGTGCCTTGATGTCAGCAAGGGTTGCACAATGAGTTTAGAATACATGCATTCCAGAGATGCATAGAAATTCTGGTTACTCACAAATTTTTGGAAAAGAAATCTCATACCAGATGCCAGCTTTACATAATAGGGATGTCTAATTACTTCTGAATTCCTTGGATAAGGAGTTCTGCCTCTGGATGGTCTTGCTCTCCTCGTGGACTAGTATCTCTCTGTCTCTTCACCTTTTTTTTTTTTAAGTCATACGACTATCTTTCCATTTATGTCTCTGCTAGTCTTTCTTTTCCCTTTTCTCTTGGTTTTTATTTTGATTATTGTAACTTTTTCTGTACTTCTCTCTCTCTCCTTTCTTCTTTCTTTCCTTTTTCTACTCTTACACTTTGTTTTTAAACTGTGAAATAAATTAGAACAAATATATTTGGTGCTAAATTATGTTTATTACCCCCAAATCTGTGTTCTTATTTCACTTGTAAAGTGACCCATAAACTCAGTGTTTTCTTTAAAGCAAAAGATTAAAATAATTTTAAAATAAAATAAAATTAATTTGCATTTTTTTCTGACTCAATTAATTTTTAAAATTAATAATCTTTAATGGAAAAATGTTTTTCATCCTTGTTTTAGTTGAGCAGAGTGAAAGGGAACAAATTACAAATACCAAGATCATGACACATCTTTTCATGCTATGTAGGAGGTCACCTTCCCTTTAGCAATTGTTCTATCCTATACCAAGAAACTATTTTCTCTAAGAAGAATTATGCAACAGTATTCATGAGCTTTTCAATATTTCCTTTGCTAATGTCCTTATCACCGTCAACATCCTACAACTGAGGAAGGTGCTTATCTTGCATGCAAAATTTAAAGGTGTGCCCAAAAACTCAATAGTAGAGATAAATATTTTAATCAATATTTTGAGAAATCAAAATTAATTTTAAAATTTGTGATAAACAAAGTACCAAATTTTAAGCAAAGTCAGGATCAGCAACTGCCATGTTGAGCCACGTTGGAACCTGAGGCAACAGGAAAAATAAATAATATTGGTGAAGTCTTTTTTAAAAATTATACTTTAAGTTCTGGGATACATGTGTAGAATATGCAGGTTTGTTACATAGGTAAATATGTGCCATGGTGGTTTGCTGCACCCATCAACCTGTCACCTACACTAGGTATTTCTCCTAATGCTATCCTTCCCCTAGCCCCCCACCCTGTGACAGGCCCCCGTGTGGGATGTTCCCCTCCCTGTGTCCCTGTGTTCTCATTGTTCAACTCCCACTTAAGAGTGAGAACATGTGGTGTTTGGTTTTCTGTTCCTGTGTTAGTTTGCTGAGAATGATGGTTTCTAGCTTCATCCATGTCCCTGCAAATGACATGAACTCATCCTTTTTTATGGCTGCATAGTATTCCATAATGTATATGTGACCCATTTTCTTTATCCAGTCTATGATTGATGGGCATTTGGGTTGGTTCCAAGTCTTTGCTACTGTGAACAGTGCCGCAGTAAACATACATGTGCATGTGTCTTTATAGTAGAATGATATATAATTCTTTGGGTATATACCCAGTAATGGGATTGCTGGGTCAAATGGTATTTCTGGTTCTACATCCTTGAGGAATCGCTACACTGTCTTCCACAATGGTTGAACTAATTTACCCTCCCACCAACAGTGTAAAAGGGTTCCTATTTCTCCACATCCTCTCCAGCATCTGTTGTTTCCTCACCTTTTAATGATCACCATTCTAACTGGCATGAGATGGTATCTCATTGTGGTTTTGATTTGCATTTCTCTAATGACCAGTGATGATGAGCTTTTTTTTCATATGTTTGTTGGCTGCATAAATGTCTTCTTTTGAGAAGTGTCTGTTCATATCGTTTGCTCACTTTTTGATGGGGTTGTTTTTTTCTTGTAAATTTGTTTAAGTTCCCTGTAGATTCTAGATATTAGCCCTTTGTCAGATGGATAGATTGCAAAAATTTCCTCTCATTCTGTAGGTTGACTGTCCACTCTGATGAGAGTTTTTTTTTTTTTTTTTTTTCTGTGCAGAAGCTCTTTGGTTTAATTAGATCCCATTTGTCAATTTTGGCTTTTGTTGCCATTGGTTTTGGTGTTTTAGTCATGAAGTCTTTGCCAATGCCTATGTCCTGAGTGGTATTGCCTAGGTTTTCTTCTAGGGTTTTTATGGTTTTAGGTTTTCCATTTAAGCCTTTAATCCATCTTGAGTTAATTTTGTATAAGGTGTAAGGAAGGGGTTCAGTTTCAGTTTTCTGCATATGTCTAGCCAGTTTTCACATCATTTATTAAATACGGAATCCTTTTCCCATTGCTTGCTTTTGTCAGGCTTGTTAAAGATCAGATGGTTGTAGATGTGTGGCATTATTTCTAAGGCCTCTTTTCTGTTCCATTGGTCTATATATCTGTTTTGGTACCAGCACCATGCTGTTTTGGTTACTGCGGCCTTGTAGTATAGTTTGAAGTCAGGTAGTGTGATGCCTCCAGATTTGTTCTTTTTGCTTAGGATTGTCTTGGCTATACAGGCTCTTTTTTGGTTCCATATGAAATTTAAAGTTGTTTTTTCTAATTCTGTGAAGAAAGTCAATGGTAGCTTGATGGGGATAGCATTGAATCTGTAAATTACTTTGGGCAGTATGGCCATTTTCATGATATTGATTCTTCCTATCCATGAGCACAGAACGTTTTTCCATTTGTTTGTGTCCTCTCTTTTTCCTTGAGCAGTGGTTTGTAATTCTCCTTGAAGAGGTCCTTCATATCCCTTGTTAGTTGTATTCCTAGGTATTTTATTCTCTTTGTAGCAATTGTGAATGGGAGTTCACTCATGATTTGGCTGTTTATCTATTAATGGTGTATAGGAATGTTTGTAATTTTTGCACATTGATTTTGTATCCCGAGACTGCTGAAGTTGCTTATCAGCTTAAGGAGATTTTGGGCTAAGATGATGGGGTTTTCTAAATATACAATCATGTCATCTGCAAACTTTGACAATTTACCTCCCTCTCTTCCTATTTGAATACGCTTTATTTCTTTCTCTTCCCTGATTGCCCTGGCCAGAACTTCCAATGCTGTGTTGAATAAGAATGGTGAGAAAGGGCATCCTTGTCTTGTGCTGGTTTTCAAACAGAATGCTTCCAGCTTTTGCCCATTCGGTATGATATTGGCTGTGGGTGTGTCATAAATAGCTCTTATTATTTTCAGATACGTTCCATCAATACCTAGTTTATTTAGAGTTTTTAGCATGAAGGGGTGAATTTTATCGAAGGCCTTTTCTGCATCTATTGAGATAATCATGTGATGTTTGTCATTGGTTCTGTTTATGTGATGGATTATGTTTACTGATTGGGTATGTTGAACCAGCCTTGCATCCCAGGGATGAAGCCAACTTGATCATGGTGGATAAGCTTTTTGATGTGCTGCTGGAATTGGTTTGCCAGTATTTTATTGAGGATTTTTGCACTGATGTTCATCAGGGATATTGGCCTGAAATTTTCTTTTTTATGTGTGTCTCTGCCAGGTTTTGGTATCAGGATGATGTTGGCCTCATAAAATGAGTTAGGGAGGAGTCCCTCTTTTTCTATTGTTTGTAATAGTTTCTGAAGGAATGGTACCAGCTCCTCTTTGTACCTCCGGTAGCATTTGGAAGGCAAGCTGATTAGCAACCTTAAATCCATCTACAAAGTCCCTTTTGGCAATTCAGGTAACATATTCACATTATAATATTGTAAGGTCTTATATATACTTGGTCTATATATAATTCATTGTTCTCAAGTCCCTTATATTGTCAGTTGTTTTCTGTGCTTCTCCAATATTACTTAGATATTACAGTTTTATAATTTGTTTGCAGATTTGATCTTCAACAAAGCTGACACTGGGGAAAGGACACACTCTTCAATAAATGGTGCTGGGAAAATTGGATAGCCACATCCAGAAAAATGAAACTGGACCACTATCTCACTATATACAAGAATCAACTCAAAGTAGATTAAAAACTTAAACAGAAGACCTGAAACTATAAAAATACTTGAAGAAAACCTAGGGAAAAATTTCCTGGCCTTTTGTCTAGGCAAAGAATTTATGACTAACACCTCAAAAGCCACAAGCAACACAAATAAAAATAGACAAATGGGACTTAATTAACTTAGAAAGCTTCTGAGCAGCAGAAGAAATAATCAGCAGAGTGAAGAGACAACCTCCTGAATGGAAGAAAATATTTGCAAACTGTTCATCTAATAGTGGACTAATACCTAGAATTTACCAAAAACCCAAACAACTCAACAGGAAAAAAAAATTCCACTGGAAAGTGGCCAAAGGATATAAATAGACATTTCTCAAAAGAAGACATACAAAAGGCCAAAAGATATATGAAAAAATGCTCAACATCACTAATCATTATATAAATGCAAATCAAAACCACAATGAAATATTATTTTCCCCTAGTCATAATGACTATTCCTAAAAACAAAAACAAAAACAAAGCAAAACAAAATATAACAGATTGAAAAAGGAACCCTTCTACACTGTTGGTGGGAATGTAAACCAGTATAGCAACTGTAGACAACATTATGGCGATTCCTCACAAAAGTAAAAATAGAATCACCATTGGAAACAGCAATTTTACTACTGGGTATTTGCTCAAAGGGGAAAAAAATCAATATACCAAGGGGATACCTGCACTCGCATGTTTATTGCAGTACTTTTCACAATGCAAAGATATGAGACCAACCTAAGTGGGGTTTTGGGCTTATGAAGGTGATAGTAAAAAGACTCAGGGTTTGTGAAGTTGGTGAGGGATTTTGCAAAGCTCTTCAAACTGCATGCAGAACTGTTGACCAGTGAAGATGGCAAGGTGGACGGCTCAGCAGCCAGGGATGTGCTGGTGCGCAGGGGCAGTAGCATGATGTGCAGGTGTACCCAGCAATGTTTGGGGTACTCAGGTCCCAAGTGGTGCTTGGAAGAGGTGATGAAGCTCTGAAATAATTCCCGAGCATGATCTATTATCAAGCCAGTAACATACAAAATACAGAATATTTCATGATGATATCCTCCAATAAAAATCATGAAAAAATAAAACAGAAAACAAAACAAACCAACAAAAAATGTGGTGTATATACACAATGGAATATTATTCACAGCCATAAAAAAGAATGAAATAATGTCATTTGCAGCAACATGGATAAAACTGGTGTGAAATAAACCAGGCACAAAATGGTAACTATCCCATGTTCTCACTTATATGCAGGAGCTAAAAAAATTTCATCACGTGGAGGTAGAAAGTGGAAAAATAGATCACAGAGACTGGGAAGAGTGAGTGGAAAGGGCAGGGGAAAGAATAAAGAGAAGTGCACTAAAGGATAAGATAGGAGGAATAAATTGAATGTTTGATAGCAGAGTAGGATAACTATACTTTAAAAAGTATTGTACTGGAGTGACGAACACCCTAAATATCCTGACTTAATCACTATGCATTACATACATGTAACAAAATTCCACACGTATCCCATAAATTTGTACGAATAAAAAAAGCTTAAGTTAGCTAAAAACCAAAACATAAAGCAAACAAACGAAATAATATTTCTAATTCTTGACTACTTTAATCTGATTTGCCTTGAGACAAATTTTGAAAATTATTTTGTGAACTCAAAAATATCTCATTGTTTATTGAATTTCATTTTATAGGAGGGAAAATGTATGTGTTGAACGATGTTGCATTTTTCTCCAATACCATAATAAGTATTTAAATGTATTTGTCAACTTTTTTCTTTTTTTAGAATAGTATAGCTTTTGTCATTTATAAACAACACATTTCTGTTTAAGATTATTCCTATTTACTTTATATAGCCTATTGTTCATTTGAATAGGTTCTTTTTGGCTACATTTTAACATATTACATTTTAATATATTACATATTTAATATAATGTTAAATATATTTATTTAACAATTAAATATATTTAAGTTCAATATATTTATTTAACAATTAAATATATTTAAGTTCAATATATTTAAGTTCAATATATTGTTGAATAATTTATAAGAAGGTTATTGAATTTATTTTCTCATTTTGAAATTTGCCCATGTACTGAATTATCTGGGTTTACTTTTTAAAATTCTACTTTATAAAATTATCTTAAAGTAAAATGGACCTTTTCTTTGTTCTGGTAAACAATCCATTAATTTTAGCATACATATATATTATGTAATCAGCACCACAACCAAGATATACAACAGGTTACTAATACCAAAAAACTCCTTCATGCTCTCTTTCTGAATTATTTTTTTTTGAATTATTTTTATTTCTATTATTTTTCTGTTTATTCTCTTGCCTTTTCCAGTATTACTCTAATAATAATTATACCTGTTTTCCAGGATTTATACAGTTTTCCAGGATTACTCTAATAATTACTATATATCCTTATTTTTTGTTTTACAATTGGATACATATTTTAGATTTACAGCTAGACCTCTTTTTCTGTGGGTTCCATATTCTTGGATTCAACCAATAGCGGATCCAAAATATTAATAAAAAACAATACAAATAATACAAATTCAGAAAGTGATACCGTATAACAACTAGTTACATAGCATTTATATTGTATTAGGCATCATAAGTAATCTAAGATGATTTAAAGTATATGGGAGGATGTGTTTAGATTGTATACAAATATCATGCCATTTTAACTCAGGGATTTGAACATCCATGGATTTTGGTATCAGCGAGGGTCCTGGAACCAATCTTCTATGGATACCAAGGGACAACTAGAAAACTATTAAATCTTTATACCAGTTTTGTTAAGTTTTTAAAAAATCATTTCCTTTTTCTTCGTAGAAGGAAAAACATCTTAAAACTAAACGTGCTTCCTTATTTCAAAGAGTGCTAGAAATGTGGTCAGCTAGGGAAGATTTTCTTGGGGTCTATTGCCAGACCTGTGGGGAATGTACGATGGATATGACAGTTGTGAAGAGTTCAGTCTTTCAGGTATTTGGGAAACAAGTCGTGCTTAGAGAGCAAGCCACAGATAAATGATTGACCTGCAGGTAAATATGGCAAGACCCTTGGCTTATGGTTTTGGGTTGTGAATCCACATCTGTATCTTCCTGGATAATCCATTATGAACACTTCAAAAATAATGATAATTATTATAAACATCCCTGCTATTATTTCTACTATATTTTATTAAGTACTTTCCTTGTAGTAAGCATTGAACTGAATGTTTAAAGTTTATTTTTATAATTTAATTTTTACACTATTCATCTAAGGTACTACATACTACCTCTCTTCTCTCCTCCTGGCTATGTTGGACTTTCCAACGTCCCCCTTTCTATGATTCACCTATCCCTCGAAACAGCTATCAGTATTAGTTTGCGCTAATTTTTTAATGTATTGTCAGAAACTTTAATGCATGATACTTCCTTTAATACGCAACTTCCAGTAAGCAAGTATTTGCTGCAGACAAATTGCCTTAGCCTAAAAGAATAATTTTCCAATTGTTGGACTTTGCAAACTGGGGCATAAATATGGGAATATTTCCATAACTAAAGGAGTAATTTTTGTTCCCCATATGCTCTGCAAATGACTGCTTCAATGTTTTCTTCTCCTAGGCCAGTCCCAGTTGTGCTTTTCTCCAATGAACATTGCTACATCACAGGAGTGCATTCCCACTTTAAATAGCAAAGACACACTTCACAGTTCTTGTTGCAACTCTGTGAAAAGTTGGGTCAACATTTTAATGACTCCCACTGCAAGTAGATTATAGTGTTTAATCCCTGATCTAGTAAATGTCACTGCTTTCTAAGGGGTTTTATAATAAAGACAGGAGAAAAATATACATCCATACTCCAGGCTTCTGATGCTTACTAAAGAACTATGGTGATTTCAGTAGGCTTGTGAATCTCGGAGGAAATGGTGTTTTTGATGCTAGGTGCATAACTGGTAGGTTAAAAGCTAGATATGATAGGGTCTTCAGAAGCAGTTGTGGTTTGCATTCTTCAGATAGCAAAACAATTGACATTTATTTAATAATTATATAAAACAGAAACAATGGAGGAATAGCAAAGAAAAAATTATGTATGACTTAAAGACATAAAAATGGATGGTTCCATTAAATAGGAACTAAAACATTCTTTCTGGTGATGAAAAGGAGAAAAAAATATAAATATAAACTTATGTGTATGTTTAAATCAATATGAGTAGCTCCCAATAGTAAATAAATTGTCAGTAAAATAGAAATATTCAAATGTGTGAAGCTGAGGGTTTTCAATGCATTTAATATAAAAGGAACTTGTGCCATTTTGATATGAAAAATGCAATTTCAAACAGATGAAATTATTTTGGTAGTACATGGTCTTTTTCTAAATCCCTGAAATTAAATAGATTAGAATTTTTATTGCATATGTTATTAATAATAAAACACACTATTTCTGAACAGCATTGTTAAATTTGGATTTTCAAACCTAGAAAATTCCTTAAATTTTGCCCAGAAAATATGCTTCAAGCTTTACATAGACCATCTAATATAATTCTCACAAGTAGAGGTCAAATCTTAGGCTACTGAGACATAAGTGAAGTCAAGAATACCGTAACTACTCTTAACTACTGAGCCATAGACTCCTTTTAAGAATTC